>NC_000011.10:40060000-40363030 GCF_000001405.40 Homo sapiens
TTAGGATATTCATTCGTATTTAGTGTCCGGCAGCTCAAAAGCCTATTCCCTTGTTACTATTCAGTTCCTACTAATGAAGGACCCACTCTTATACTCAAGGTAGTCAGGAAGAGACAGAAGTTACAGCAGTTTTCATTTCATCATGAACTTTTGGCAAAGGGTGAGCATGAACTTTTGGCAAAAGGTGAGTTTTTTTTGTTTGTTTGTTTGTTTTGCTTTTCAATGAATTTCTTTCTTTGATCTTCAAAAGAAAATGCAACCTCCTTTGGTTTTATTAGGTGTTAACTAGTGCAATTCTATCTGTTCATATTGCTGTAGGTTTCTGATCAGAACAAAAGCTAGAAAATGGTGAATATGTTTTCCGGGAATGCCAGGGCTTTCTGTCTCCTCACACATTCTGTTTATAGCCCTGCACATTATGAAGTCACATTTCCTTAATCGTATGCTAAACTCATAGTCATAGTCCTCCATCAACAATGTTTATGCACTGCTGATCTGAGCTTCACAAAATCAGGGACTGAGGCTGTTTTATTCACTACTAACGCATGTAGTACCATACCTGGCACATAAAACTAGTGCATGGCTCAAGAAAAGGTAGTTATGCATGTTGTGTAATTGTGTATGTCTGTTCTGTTCAGAGCATAGCCCTCAGACCAAAAGCATTGCCATTACTGGGACCTGGTTTAAAACATAAAATCATGGATCCCATGCAGATACATAAAATCAGAATATATAAGGGTTAGGCCCAGGCATCTGTTTTTTTCAAAGGTTTCCAGGTGACTTGTACTCTGATTAAAGATTGAGAAGCATGGATCTATATAAAATTTTTGAGAACTAAAATATTTAGAAATATTAATTTCAAACACTAAAAGTATAATATAATTTAAAGAGTATTATAATCAAATATATGAACAGATACAAGCGGATAGTCAGTACATGTCACATAAAGATCAAACTCTTCTGTATTCACATTGTATACCTCTTAAATTATTTTCATATTTCAAAAAATTAATTGACCACTTATGGAATATTAGTATTAATGAGTGTCTACTGGGTATAAAGTAATGAATTGGAAACTTAGCATATAACTGAAAGAGATAGAATCCTTGCCTTATAATATGTTGGTCAAGACAAACGATACATGTACCATAAAAATATGATTACAATCTGATGAGAGCAAAACTGAGTAGACAGGTTATGGTGAGAGTGTGGGAGTATTATGCTGACAATTTGGGACTATTGTTGATAGTGGGAAAATTTTCTAGAAGAAAGCATGCTCTGAATTCTTCTTAGGTATATTCATAGTGTTTTATTACAAAGAAAAAGAAAAGGAACTTGAATATAACCAACAGTTTAGTAAAAGTTTAAGAAAAAAGAGAAAACCACATTTGGGAAGCCATAAGGCAGCAACATTGACCAGAAGGGAAAATGTAGATTGAGACACGGAGAAAAGTGAGAACAAAAAAAGAAACTAGAGTTAGGAAGTGGCAGAATCAGAAGTAGAAAAAGAGAGCAAAAGGATCAACACTAAAACTATGTGCGGTGGAGACGTAGTTAGCTGAGGATATGTAGCTCATAAGCATGAAGACCCCTGCATGAGGGATTTGCAATTTTCTAAACAGACAAATGGGCTGGATGTGAACACTTTGTTGTCTTCCTCCCACCCACTTTTGTAGCTGCAGCCAAAAGTAGAAGGATGAGAATTGAGTTTGGAACTCTGTTCTAATCATATTTTTGTCCTGGTGTGTAGGAAGTGTTGGAAATAATAAGATTATTCTTAAGATACCACTCCTTGGCTTTCTATGGAAGAAGTATCATTTCCAGTGTAAGATAACAATCTTTATTCAGAGTTAAAATCCTACCCTGAAGAAACAAAGAACTGGAATCATCATAAAGCACCCTGTTCTTATAAAATTTATGTTTCTTACCCTAAATTCAGAAGGAATATTACATTTTGAGAACTTCATTACTTCGACAAGCACTACTGCAAAAGCAAGTTGTTATGTGTGTGAGTGTGTGTGTGTGTTTTAAAAGACAATATCAAACCAAGTAAAGCTACATTAGAATTGAGTAAATTGGGCAGCTTTCATCTGTTGTAACGCCAATCTATTGACATCTTTACATAGACATGTTTATATGAGTGTGAATTTTAAAAACAAGCTCCAAGCTGTGCCAGTTTTTAATGCCCATATAACTACAGTCATTGCTATTTTAATAACTGCATTCATTTCAAAGAAACCTGAGTAATGCAATTCTCTTTAAAAGCCTTGAAACTGACTAAGCCCTCGGGATATCAGCATTTCTAAAGGAAAGAGGTTCAGTTTACCATGCTATTTATAAACATACTGAAAGGGAAAGATTAAAAACAACATTTCAAGTGTCTCCCTAAATTTTATGCCTGCCAAATCTTTACACATATTGTAATTTAAAAAAAAAAAATGAGTGTAAACTGAGAGGACATAATTTACTCATACCTTGACTAAACAAGGCAGAAAAAAACCAAAGTTTCTGTGTTGTCCTGGCCAAATGTGTTGAAGATCACCTGATGAAGCCAGTCATCATACCAAGATACTCCTGTGTGCAAAGGCTTTGTCCACACACCCTTCTAGCTGGCCACCTCCACAAAGCCTTCACAGATGAACCCAATTCTATACTGATTACCTCCCCGGTCAGAAACACCAGATTATATTGTCCAACAATATTTTAAAATCTTGATGTAGTTTGATGCTCCCCAAGTAGATCAAATAGTCTTGAAGACGCTTCCTTTGCAGCCCACCTAGGGCAAAATGTAGTGTTTCATGCACAGAATGTGCTAAACATTTCCTTTCAAGCCTGAGTCATTATGCCTAATGTATTTACCAGAGATTTCATATTTGTCACACAAAGACATTTGACTCAGCCAGTATTGTAACCACATATAGTTTGTTCAGAAACTGAGTATTTTTATAATGGTTGCTGAGTGTAATGAATCTGGGAAGAATTCAAAACCCATATTTTGTACTCACTACAAACCTTTCTAAAGTGAGAAAAAGTACGTGCTTTTTATATTCAACATTTCCAGAGAGGATCTTTGGGCAAGAAACTATTTCAGGTTTGGGGAGAAATGAAATGAGGGAGAACACATTTGTAAAAGTTACATCACTTATTCTCTCCTTCAAAGCCAGTGGATTTACTGGTTTGAAATGAAGGATGGATGCACTGACAATGACTGTCAAGTCCAAAAATCTAGAAGTGGTCTGCTGAGGTAATATTTGCAATTGGGACTGTTGAAAAATCTGGAATAGTGGCCAAAGACATGACACTTTTTATGCCTTACTGATTTCAGCTTAGAATTCACTGTATAGGCTCCAAGATTTCAACCTAGCCATAGACAGTTCAAGTAATTTATTTTTACTACTCTGAAAAGGGAGTGTACATTTCACCTTTAAGCTATTATCTAACAAAATAATTACTGGGAACATAATTAACCAATTGTGTAAAAGGTTTCAATGTTTATATTTATCACAATTTCTAAATTTTCTTAGAAATTTTCAGAACTGTAATCAATAGTACCTAGCCAGTAGCAAACTTATGGCTCTTAGAAGGCATGAAGTAGCCATACTTAGCAGTTATTTCTGAAAATAATGCCACATCCTAGTCCCAGGTAGCAAGTAAAACTTCCTCCATGATGTAATGGCATGAACATACTTCTTCCAAAATTCCTGAAATGTTTTTCAGAAGGGTAACTGTATCTTTCCAACATTCCTAAGTGAATGTTTTTTTCCTAAAACCAAGAAAACCAAAGTTTAACGTTTCAGTATGGCATACTGGAAAAAGACATAGGGTAGGCACTCATCACCTTGGTTTCTAATCCAAGCTATGAAACAACATTGAAATAAGTCTCCACATCTCTGGGACTGATGTATAATGTTTATAGGCTCACTTAGCTTTACCCATTCTAGTACCATGGAATGAGAGGAGTCTGCAGATCCCTCTATTCTGTCCTGACCATTACCATCATAACAATATATTGTTAATGAATGCAGGCCCTGTAGGCCCAGGCATGTTGGCTCACGCCTCTATCCCCAACACTTTGGGAGGTCGAGGCAGGAGAATCAACTTGAGCCTAGGAATTCAAGACCAACCTGGGCAACATAGTGAAACTCTGTCTCTACAAAAATTTTTTTAAAAATTAGCCAGTGTTTGTGGCATGTGCCTGTAGTTTCAGTTTCTCAGGAGACTGAGGTGCGAGGATCTTTTGAGTCTTGGAGGTCAAGGCTACAGTGAGCTGTGATCGTGCTACTGCACTGCAGCCTGGATAACAGTGCAAGACCCTGTCAAATAAATAAATAAATGTAATATTCTCCCTTTATTTTACCTGTATAGAATGTTATTTGTTTACCTAGGCAAGTATATAACCGGAGCATTGACAGAACCTGTATTAATTTGTATTCTTCTGGTTGGAAACAACAAAATATGTCTTAAATTAGTTCTTTCATAAGTATGACCTGAGTAAAATCTGAAATATCAGGTAGGCCCATCAAGGCACAGTCAAAGAAATAGCCTCGCAATTAAATTTAATTATTAATAAAAACAATTCAAATCTTTACTGAAGTCTCTCAAATTCAAAGAAGTCACAACATAAGCAATAGAAGTGGTTCATAAAATTCTCCATTTCAATCTTGTTATTCTCAAGAGTTCTTATTTACTGAAACCATCTTATAGCCCTTCCTTCAATTCCTTTAGAGTCAACTCATAACCAAATGGTATCCCAAAACCCACCGTAGGCTGATCCTCCTTATTTTTCCCCTCCTCCTCTTTTTAACATTCTCATAATTTTGTCTCTTTAAAAAGAGGTTAAAACCTTTCTTCCAATGTAAAGTAAAAGTCTCTTCTTCCCAATGTTTAGCTCTATCTACCCATGAGCTAAAATCAGGAGCACAAAACCAAGGAAATAACATTAAAAAAATGAGAATAAATTTTAGAAAGTGAACAAAAAGAGGAAAAAAGAGAGAAATCTATCTCAATGGAGGGAGGAAAAGTGGAAAGTTTGCAAACTTTCATAGTTTTTACATGTTTTCTTTTATTTTCTACTCCTCACCATACCTGGGGCCTCCTGAAACTCTGTATGGGGTATTTAGCTGGGCTTCCAGAATAAACAAAAGAGTAATTTGAATGTTGTCAAGGTATTTTTTTCCAATCTCTCAGTTTTCTGTGTAAGCATGTGCATTCTTCTCTTCATCTCTAGAAACTGTTCTCCATTTTTTTGTGTATATATGGTAGAAAGTATGTTCCCCAGTAAGCTCTCCATTTAATGTGTTACATATCCAGCTACTCATAGAGCAATTAATCTTTTTGTAATAGGAAGGGAATCTGATTTAGTATATATTAGATACCACGTCAATAACTAAAAATCACCAAAGGATTTGTTTATATTTTACAGAAAATGTACATTAAGGTGGATCCAAAAAAAAAAAAAACCTTAAAATGCAGTGTATGTGTGGTCCAAGAAGACCACCTCATTGGCACCAACTACAGGGAGAATCATAAATTCTAATTCTGAATATGAGTATAATTCCCAATGATTTTGACTCTTGGAGTATCATCTAGCTCCCTTTGTTATCATTGTTATTTTAGTCAGATTTTATGCTATTTATGTTTCAGTGGCATGTCCCTTATTGCAAGGTGAGATATTTTAAAAACACATTTCTAGAGATAGCTTTTTAAATTTTTTGACGTTTATCTTTTCACATGTTAATTTTCCTAATGAAAATATCCCTTTTTTTTTTTACCTAAAAAATTGCTTATACATGTGTAAGACATTTAAAAGTACAATGTGCTCATTGAATAGAAGAAGCAACTGAGAGGACTTACTCAAGAACACAAGCTGCTAAGTGTCAAGGAAGAACACGTAATTTTATCTCCCCTTTCCTGTTCATTTAATTTTACCCTTGGGCCCATTCAGTGTCAGATTAAACCTGTTCCATACATTGAAGAAAAATTAAACTTAGGGTTGGCTAGGTTAGAGTTATTTAATTTTCAGTAGAAAACTGAAGGTGGAACCAGCAGCCTTGCAATTTAATTTGCTAGCTAAATTGGTTTTTAAGGTAAGTCTGGAGTTATATGACCCAAAGAATTCATAACAATGTGGATTTTCTTTGTATCTTACTGCCTCGGGTAGTAGCGAATTTTTCTCCATGGCTTTAACTCTACATAAATGGTTTTAAAATGACCTTCAATCAGATACCATCATTCCAGGGGTTCAGGAAAAATTCACACAGAATGTAAAACTGGATTTGAGCTTTCCTTTAGTCCAACACATTTTCCAAGATTTTGCATTAAAACCTTATACCTTAATAAAGAAGGGAGGCAGAAGGAGAAAAGATCATGGTACCTAATTTGATCAAAATGAGGCAGGAGAAGAGATGGACAAAGATAGGGCCTAAAGTGTTAACTACACTGACTACAGAGTTCAGCAAAACCACAGGCCAGAAGCAAGCAGGCTGCATAAGTTTTCTCCCTGGTCAAGCTATATTCAGTATTGACTTCTTAAGAGAGTCAGATTACTTAGAGATCCCAGATCAATCAAGTGTCTAGTCAAGGCCAAATATAAACTGAGAAGTACACATTAGACCATGGGGGAGGGTACGGTGAGGATGGGGTTAGTGGCTGAAGAAGGAAGAACTTCTTCAGAGAAGTCAAGAGCGGCAAGACAGTAGCATCCAAACATATATTAGTTGGCTAGGGCTACCAAGCTTGGGAAAGTGTGTCCTAGAGTGAAGAAGCCCTGAGGTATTTTGGCTGGGGCAGGGGGCTTTAGAAGTGTTAGAATGAGCACTAGGTCTGTCTTTTAAAGTACTAGATGCCCCAGGCTGTTCCTGGCAGCAATAAACAAGAAAAGTAATGGGCTGACCACTACAGGTCCTAGACTAGCTAGATTAAAGGCTGTGGGTAGTCATGATTGGGTTTAATATGTAACACCACAGTGATTTATGGTACACCTTTTAAAATAATTATTAATAATTTTCACTTTTTGACTTGCAATAATAGGGTTTTAATCACTATATATATTGCAAAATCTTTGGCAACTTTTCTAAAAAGATGTTTTCCACTTGGCATATATATTCTCTGGTCCTGAAACCTTAAGAACAAGATGCTGCTCTTCTCTGATTCAGCCCACAAACTTCCAAATTAGCCTGAAAAGGCTTTCTCATTCTGTTTCTTGTAAATGCCTCTTTAGAATTTGACTTTCCCTTCAAAATAGAAATGGTAAGAATTCCCCAAAACAGACTCGCTGTGGCACAGCCAATCCTCTGCTTCTTTCCTGATCTTGGTTCAGAAAGATCTCTGGTTGCCTCCACATTTCTAAGTCACACTGATTGTTTGCTTTCATCTTCAATTTTTCATGTTCAGCTTGGATATTAGAAGGAAATTTATACTGACTTAAAGGATTCCTGATGAGTAGTAAACACAATATTTAGTTTCCTAAAAGCTCAAGATTTGTACCACTGTAAAGAAGAATTTGAAACAAGGAGGTATTAAAAGTTCTCAAATTGGCCTAGTTCTCCTTATTTAGAGCTATATGAGATATTATGTGTATCCGTGAGAATGTTAGTAAATACAAAAGATACAGTTTATAAGCTATATGAATAAACAATACTTCCAATTATCTTATCTGTAAAATGAATATGACATTAAGCTTATTTCAAAGCGTGGGTGAGAAGGTTAAAAATGTTTTTAACCTTATGCGTTGTGTAAAGTGCAATGCAAACTAATGTGAAGCTCTCTCTGGGTTGGTGTTTAAACAAGAGACTACCGAATGTTAGATGGACTCAGGATAGCGGTAGAAAATTCAATTATTTAATGTAGAAAAATATAAATTCAGACCTACTGAACGCAGACCTAACCCAGACCTACTGAATCAAAACTTCTGTGGAGAAGACCCGAGAATGTGAATTTATTTTAAAGTGATTCAGGCAATTCTGATAGATGGCCAAATTTGGATTTTAGTGAATAAAAACATTAAAATTGCTGATATTCAGGCAAGAGAAAGAAATAAAAACATCCAAATAGGAAGAGAAGAAGTCAAACTAACTCTCTTCACTTATATGATTCCATAACTAGAAAACCCCATGGACTTCACCAAAAGGTTTTCGGAAATGATAAATTACTTCAGTAACATTTCAGGATACAATGTCAGTGTACAAAAATTAGTAGCGTTTCTATACATCAATAGTGTCCAAACTGAGAGCCAAATCAAGGACACAATTCAATTTCCAATAGTTATGAAAATAATAAAATGCCTAGAAATACAGCTCAGCAAAGAGGTGAAAGATTCTTATAACAATAATTAAAAACACTGCTGAAAGAAATAAAAGCCAATACAAACAAATGAAAAAAAATTATATGCTTGTGGATGGGAAGAATCAATATTTTTAAAATGGCCATACTGCTCAAAGCAGTTTACAGATTTAGTGTTATTCCTATCAAACTACCAATGGCATTCATCATACAATCAGAAAATCTATTCTAAAATCCATATGGAACCAAAAAGGAGCCCAGATAGCCAAAGCAATCCTAAGCAAAAAGAACAAAGCCAGAGGCATCACCAGACTTTAAACTATACTAGAAGGCCACACTAACCAAAACAGTATGCTATTGGTACAAAAACAGACACACAGGCCAATGGAACACAACAGAGAACACAGAAATAAAACCACACACCTACAACCATCTGATCTTCAACAAAGTAACCAATAATAATCAATGAAGAAAGAACTCCCTATTCAATAAATTACGCTAGAATAACTGGTTAGCCATGTGCAGAGGATTGAAACTAGTCCCCTTCCTTTCACTGTATACAAAAATTAACTCAAGATGCATTAGAGACTTAAATGAAAGACCTCAAACTCCAAAAAAAAAAAAAAAAAACATAGAAAAAAATCACAGGAAATATCATTCTGGACATTGGCTTTGGTAAAGAATTTATGACGAAGTGCCCAAAAGCAATTGCAGCAAACAAAAGAAATAGACAAGTGGCACCTAATTAAAGAGCTTCTGCACAGTGAAAGACACTATCAATGGAATAAGAAGACAACCTATAGAATGGGAGAAAATACTTGTGAAGTGTGCATCCAACAAAGGTCTAATATCCAGAATCTAGAAGGAACTTAAATAATTCAACCAGCAATAACCAAACAACCCCATTATAAAATGAGCAAAGGACATGAATAGATATTTCTCAAAAGAAGACATATACATGGCCAACACATACATGAAAAAAATGCTCAGCATCACTAATCATTAGAGAAATGCAAATCAAAACCATCTGAGATACCATCTCACACCAGTCAGAATGGCTATTACTAAAAATTCAAAATATAACAGATGTTGACAAGGTTATGAAGACAAGAGAACACAACCACTACAGGTAGGAATGTAAATTAGTTCAGCCACTGTGGAAAGCAGCACAGAAATTTTTCAAAGAATTTAAAACTGAGCTACCATCTGACCCAGCAATTCCACCACTGGGTACAAACCCAAAGAAAAAAAAATCATTATATAAAAATCATATGCACTCATATGTTCATGACAGCACTATTCACAATAATAAAGACATGGAATCAACTTAGATGCTCATCAAAGGTGGACTGGATAGAGAAAATATGGCACATACACACTGTGGAATACTACACAGCCATAAAAAGAACAAAATCATGTCCTTTGCAGCAACATGGATGGAACTGGAGGCCATTACTCTAAGCAAATTAATGCAGAACAGAAAATCGAATACTGCATACTCTCACTTACAAGTGGGAGATAAACACTGAGTAATCATGGACTTAAAGATAACAACAATAGGCATTGGGGACTACTAGAGAGGGGAGGGCAGGAAGGGGGTGTGAACTAAAAAACTACCTATTGGGTACTATGTGCACTACCTGAGTGACAAGATCATGTATACCAAATCTTATCAACATGCAATTTACCCTGTAAGAAAGCCACACACGTACCCCTTGAACCTAATTTTTTTTTTTAAAAAAAGAACCTGCTGGTATCAACACCAATTTTAACCATGATTTTTTACTTTTTTTACAGTGCGTGGCAATTTTGCTATGAACAATATATGTCATAGTCTCACAAAAACCTTAGAAAGAAAAACTAATGCTATTTTAGAAAGAAAAAATGTTAACCATTTGTATTAGTCCATTTTCATGCTGCTGATAAAGACATACCCGAGACTGGGTAATTTATAAAGGAAAGAGGTTTAATGAACTCACAGTCCCACGTGTCTGGGGAGGCCTCACAATCATGGTGGGAGACGAAAGGCACATATTCCATGGCAACAGGCAAGAGAGAATGAGAGCCAAGGGGAAACCCCTTATAAAACCACCAGATCTTGTCAGACTTATTCATTACCAGAACAGTATGGGGAAAACCACCCACATGATTTAATTATCTCCCACCGGGTCCCTCCCACAAAACACGTGGGAATTATGGCAGCTATAATTCAAGATGAGATTTGGGTGGTGACACAGCCAAACCATATCACCATTTTAGAAAGAAAGGTTAATCCCATTTGACAGATTGAGAAACACTGGCACAAAATAAAGCAACTCATCCAAATTGACAAGAGTGAGTGGTGGCAGTTAGTACTGAACTCCAGGTCTCCTTGACTCCTAATCCAGTCCAGCAATCTTAATCAGTACAATATACAGCCCCTTTAAAAACACTGTGAATAAACTCTTCTAATTTATTGCCTGTGGAATTCAGCAGTCCCATAACAACTAAAGCCATTTGAGTACATCTTCTTTGTATTTTGAGCAATGGGTAGAAATATGCTCCAAACTGCAAATCCATCTGAAATGATGGGTAGATTCCCTATAATTCCTCTTTCTGTTCCATTTATAGTGCCAACATATTTGCAGCTTTTAAAATTGCATACACATTACACAGCTTATTACAAAACTTTAAAAACAATGAAATGTTCATAAAACCTCTGCATCTTTTTGTTTGTCTGATATTCAGACATAAAAACAGTAAAGGCCCCTTTCCATCTAGAAAGCTACTTATCACCATAAGAATCCAACACTTCCAAGCATTGTTTTTCAGTCTTGATTTCTTGGCTTCCATTTTAACTGACTCACCAGACATAAACACAGGTCTGGAGATGATATGAACTTGGAATAATATTTGAGAGGTTAGTTATAGTTACCAAGGGGATTCTTTAGCCTTACGTTCATAAAGATGCTGATCACGCTTCTGTAACGAGAGACCCAAAACTGCAGTGGCTTATATAATACAGAGGTTTATTCACAGCTTACTTGGCCCTTCTGACCAATTACAGAGAGCTAAAGAGATTAAGAATCTCCTTAGCTCCTTCTAACTTTTGGTCTTTGCCTTTCTTGACATGCAGTGTGCAGATTACAGTTTAAGGATTCTGCTCACCCAGACTTGCAGACAGGCCAATGTCAAAAGGAAAAGGGAGTGCACCTCTCTTTTTGAAGGCCATGATCCACAAGTTGCTTACATCATTTTTGCTCATATACCAATGAATAGAACCTAGTCACATAGCCACACATAGGTACATGGGAGATTGTGCAATATGAACCTGGATATGCAGCCACATTCTAGGGTAGGACTTACGTATAAGAATGGAGTGGGTATGACAGGGGAGGCAATTTTCAGCCTCTGCCACCATCTTGAAGATCCCTATTGTTTGGAATGGTAAACATTTGTAGTATTCAGAATTGATACAGATAAATTTTTTTCCACCTTCATGCCAATACTTGACCTATCTAATCCCCAGTTAGAATTTCAGAAAGAAAACGTATTCAAGCCAAAGCTTAGAATAGAAATCCAAAAGCATTGGCCAACATTTCTTCTTTGACTGTGTCATCTCTCCAGGTGCTAATGAAGTCCTGATAGATGAGACGCTTAAAATAAATAATCAGATTTTTTTAGGAAGACACTTGTCCTATTGATCTAGTATTAGCTTCAATGCCTTCTGTGAAATTAAGCAAATGTCTTCTACTACTGAAAGCAGGAAAAAAAAATTGAAAGGGCATTCAACATTCAACAAATATTAGGGAACTCTTGACTACACATAGCTAGCTACATAGTCATGGGCTTTAGCAAGATAGTTTGTGGGCCTTAGTGTAGCAGGCAGAATAAAGACCTTCTGAATCTATTAGGTCTTAATCACCAGAACGTGTGAATATGTTAGGTTATAGGGCAAAGACCAATTAAGGCTGCAGATGGAATTCAGGCTGCTAATCAGCTGACCTTGAGATGGTGAGATTATATTGTGTTGCTTAGGTGGGCCTAATGTAGCCACAGGGGTCCTTCCAAGAGAAAGAGAAAAACAGAAGACTCAGAGTCAAAAAGATGTGAAGATGCTACACTGCTGGCTTTGAAGACAGAGGAAGGGACCACAAGCCAAGAAATGCAGGAGAACTCTAAGAGCTAAAAAATGCAACGAAGCATGTTCTCCCTTAGAGCCTCCAGAAAGCAAAGCAGCTCTGCCAACACCTTAATTTTAGTCCAGTGAGACAACTTTTGAACTTCTAAACTCCAGAATCATAAGGAAATAAATGTGTACTGTTTTAAATCACTATGTTTGTGGTAATTTGTTATAGCAGAATTAGGAAATTGATATAATTTTATACTCAATTATATTAATTATAGATTCAAGTATTTTGCTATATGATTCAAATCATCTCTGTGCTAGCACACTAAATACCCCATCTCATTTAATTCTCTTGACTCTATGAAGTGGGTATTGAAAAAAACCCAAGATTAAGGAAGTGAAGTAACTTGCTAAATGTCACATACAAATTGGTGGAGAAGATATTCAAATATTGTCTAAAAGTCTATGATGAACTATTTAAGACATAGTCCTTGTCTTCAAAGATGTTAGTGGATTCTGATTTATTTTATTTTTTTTGAGATACAGTCTCACTGTGTTGCCCAGGCTGGAGTGCAGTGGCACGATCTTGGCTCACTGCAACCTCTGCCTCCTGGGTTCAAGCAATCCTCCCACCTCAGCCTCCTGAGTAGTTGGAATTAAAGATGCCCACTACCACACCTGGCTGATTTTTTTTTAGTAGAGACAGGGTTTCACCATGTTGGCCAGGCTGGTCTCAAGCTAATGGCCTCAAGTGATCCACCCACCTCAGCCTCCCAAAGTGCTGGGATTATAGACACGAGCCACCGTGGGCAGCCTGAGTTACTAATTTTATCATTTTTTGAATACTATGTTGGAGTCGGCAAATTTTTCTAAAAATCGTAACACAGTGAATATTTGAGGCTTTCTAGGCCAAATGTTGTCTGTTGCAGCACTCAATTTTGTCATAACATGAAAGCAACTGGAGAAGCTATGTAAATTAAAGAGGATGGCTATTTTCCAATAAAACTTTACTGAGAATAGGTGGTAGGCCAGAATTAGCTAATGGGCATAGCTTACCAAGTACTGCTCTAGGAGAAAAGAGCTTAAATATAGGGAATTCTTCTGTGAAATTGTTTAGCTGAATGAAGGTAATCTCTGTGCATAGGCAAAGACTATTCCTGGAAGGTATAATTCATAATGAATTGTGGTTTTTATACTAGTGCTTTTTCATTGGCTAGTCCCTTCTTAAAATGCTTCCTCCAACTCTCATATCTACACAGCAAATTTCCTGCTCTTCTTACCTTCTATCAAGTCTTCTTAGTGAGATCTACCCTTATCCACTCACTTAAAATTACAACTTTTCCACCATCACTGCCTGACCAATCCCCTTTATACTGTTCTAATTTTTTCTCCCTAGCTATTACCTTATGAAATACAGTATGTTTATTTATTTTACCTATAATTTAATGCCTGTCTTTCCCTGATAAAAATGATTTTTGACTATTTTGTTTGCTAATGTATCACAGATGCCTAATATCATACCTGGTACATAACACACTGTCAATAAATATTTGTTGACTAAATATTGTCCTTGGTATCTTATTTTTCATTAGGCCCAAATTACAAAGCATTAATTTACTTAAAGTGTATAAGTGACCAGAAGACTTTGCTTAGTATTAACTTTCATTTTTCACTGAGGTATTGCAGTTTTACTTCCTTGTTCAACACAAACATCATTTTGATTAACCTAATGAATTGTCTTCTATTCTAAGGGAGATGAGGTTGTATATTTATATCTCTAAACTCACCTTCCAATGCAGTTCCAAATATTTGTTGCTTTTCTCCCCAGAGACTTGCACATCAGTGGTCATAAAGCACTTTGAAAATATTTCAGAAACAAGTGGTTATTTAAATGCAAGCTCCAATATGATAATGAAGAAAAGGAGAGACATTGCAAGACAGGAGTGAAAGATAGAGCATGCTTGTGTTTATCCTAGAGCTGTATTGGGATTCCTATAATGATTAATGATGCAATAATATAATAAGAACTCAGTGGCCATGAGGCAGTGGCATTTGCAAATAAAGAATAAGATCGGAAAGTAATCAGCAGCAACTCCGAACTTAGTTAAGGTTTCAAGTTATGCACCATTTTTTATATCATGTTAGTTCATTTCCTTTCATATTACTACCCTAAATCATTTTGCTCTAAGGAAGAAAGAACAGCTGAGTTGAGTATGAAGATTAACGGGCAGTGTATCTATTCCTGTTTGCAAGGATGAGTACCTAAAGTTGAGAAAGCAGATCAGAACTTCTTGGGTTTTCAAATTGGACTGGAAAATTTCCCAAGAACAGGTTTTCTGCTAAACATACATCCTACCCTGGTCAAACTGCAAATAATGCAATGCTGGTCTTTATTAAATCAGATACAAGCTGTGAAGAGACCACAAAGATATAACTAGAAATCACAGCCAATTGAAAGAAACCAAGCTTTCAATAAAATTGAAAGCCTGATTACTTGAATGTGGTCTATCTATTAATTCAAAGTATGCTCCTCAGGACTTTTGAATCTCTCTTTCTTGATATTAGCTCCTTTTGGAAATCTCAGTCCTGCATTTCTGACAGCTTGACTTCTCCATCTGGATATCGTGCCCAAAGGCTACTAATACCATAAACCCAACATACCCAAAATAGTATTTGTCACATTTCTTTTAAAATGGCTGTTAATAACACCAGTCTCACAGATTTAATTCTTCTGCACCTACCTTATCTAAATCAGTTACCCAAGCCACATAGATTCTATATTCTCAGTGCCCTTCACATTTTGTTCATTCTCGCCCACATTACCCTAATACAGGTCTTTAGAACACTTCTACTTTGTCATTGTAATAGCCTTCTTACTGGTCTACTGCTTTCTTTCTCTCCAAGGCAACATCCTGCAACCAGATTAATCTTCCTAAATTATAGCTCTGACAATAACCTGCTCGCACACTTATAAGCTCTTCAATATCTACCAAATTAGGGATGAATTTCTTGTGTTTTTATTCCAGGCCTCCAAGATATTGTTGAACTACCTTCCCAACAGCATCTACAAGGTGCTGCCAAACAGAGATCAAACTGTGGCCAAAACCCCCTTACCTATCCATTAATCTCACAGGTGAATCTCTTTGTTAACACATTTCTATTTTCCTTAAAATGTGCATCCTACTTCTGTTAAACATTCTTTGTTCTTCATTTGTGTTTGTCTTATATTCTTGCCTTTTTCCAAATTAGGATAAGGACTATGTTTCATCCATTTTTGTTTCTTCTTCCTTGCACAGTGAACCATATATAGTAATCACTGGTTACATGCATGTGGAAATAAGTAAGTTAAAACCAGAAATATAAGCAAGGATATTACTAACAGCTTCTAAAAGTCAGTTAATTATTTGTGGTTTACAGTCTTTTAAAATTTTGTTTTCAATATATGTTTAACATCATTCTGAAAATTCTGTAAAAAATATATATGTAACAAAGAAGGCCAAAATTATTAAAATTAGTTGAAGAGCAAAAGCAAATTTGTGATATAGAAAAAATTAAATGTTTCTTTATGAACACATTAAATAACAAGATCTAGCTATGTATCTATTAATAATGGCTGTAAGTTTGAAATGGTGATAAATATAAATGTTATGGTGAGATATCTATAACTACAGTAGTGGGAATGGAAATATCTTGTTAGTTATACCATTGACAAATACAGGTTCTGCTAATACTGCTGTAACTTGTCACCTACATTTATAGATTATAAATAGTAGGTTTGTCACTTCCATTGAGAACCAAAAAATATTAAATAAATACTAAGTTTCAGTTAGAAGTTAATAAAATAAGGTTATAAACTTTCCATCCAAGTTCATGAACCCCTTTCTCTACTTTTGAGACCTTTCAATCTTAGATCTTTTCACCAGAAGCATTATCTTCTCAATTATCTAATACTGAAGTTGCATCTCTGTTACAGATTTTGCATATAATATAGTTGTTTTAAAGTAAATTTTATAACATATTTTAAAGGATATTAACATTGTTTGCAATAACTTCCGAGTCCTCCTGAGTCACTCTAAAATATTACAAAGCAGGCCAGGCATGGTGGCTCACGCTTGTAATCCCGGCACTTTGGGAGGCCAAGGCAGGCAGATCACTTGAAGTCAGTAGTTTGAGACCACACTAACTGGGCATGGTGGCAAGCACCTGTAATCCCAGCTACTTAGGAAGCTGAGGCAGGGGAATCACTTGAGTTCCAGGCAGTGGAGGTTGCAGTGAGCCAAGATCGCACCACTGCACTCCAGCCTGGGTGACAGAGTGAGACTCCATCTCAAAATATAAAATAAAATAGGCCAGGCGTGGTGGCTCATGCCTGTAATCCCAGCACTTTGGGAGGCCAAGGTAGGTGGATCACCTGAGGTCAGGAGTTCGAGACAAGCCTGGACAACATGGTGAAACCCTGTCTCTAATAAAAATACAAAAAGTAGCTGGTTGTGCTGGCAGGTGCCTATAATCCCAGCTACTTGGGAGTTTGAGGCAGGAGAATCACTTGAACTTGTGAGGCAGAGGTTGTAGTGAGCTGAGATCATCCCACTGCACTCCAGCCTGGATGACAGAGCAAGACTCTGTCTCAAACAAAAATAAATAAAATAAAATATAAAATGAAATATCACAAAGCAATCTACTTCACTTAAACATGTAAAATCTACAAACATGGACTCTTCCTGAGAGAAGAAAATTCCATAATATCCCTTTCACGCCTGAAAAAAATTTTATTTCCAATTAAAGTCACATTCTGAAATTCTGGGTGGACCTAAGATTTAGGGGAAACTATCAAGTCATGGTAAGTAATATAAACTTTTTGCCATGGGCTACTTTTTCCTAAAGTAGCCTCTGATAGATGCTTGGCAAGGGTATCTCAAATGTAGAAACAGGAATAGTGAAGCTGTTAATATTGTTTTCAGTGGGCTTTAAATCCAATGGTTGGTATGTTTATAAGAAAAACAGAAGGCACACCAAAGCACACAGAGAAAAGCAGGTCATGTAATGGAGGCAGAGATTGGAGAGATGCAAGTATAAACCAAGGAATGCCAAGGATTGCCAGAAACCAGCAGCAGCTAGGAAGAATCAAAGAAAGAATATTCCCTAGGACCCTCAGGGAACATCATGCTGCAGACAGCTTGATTTTAGACTTGTAGGATCCAGAAATGTAAAAGAGCAATTTCCCCTTGTTTTAAGCCACCCAGTTTGTGGTAATTTGTTACAGCAGCCCAACAAAAAAAAAAAGTGCACTACTTAATGTTTTAAAAAACAAGGATCATAGGAAATTATTAACTCTTTTTAGACATTTTTTCTTACTTTTGTTTTTATTTCATTATTATTTTTAGAAGAATGGGACATTTATTTGCGAGGAGTGTGGGGAGGAGGAGGAGCACAGACATTTAAGGAAATCTCTGCAAGTCACTGCTAAGCTAATGGAACAGTCATTTCAATGGACATGCACACAAAAAAACAGTCTTTACAAAATAAGCTTATAAAACAAACTACAAGCCACAAGTAGCAACAAAAACCCAGAAAAAGGGAGATAATCTGATTTCTGAACATACCATATTATAATATTTTAAAAATCCAGTTTTTGACAAAAAATTACAATGTGTTTTCCTAGATAATATTTGTTGGTTACTGTATTAGTCCGTTCTCATGCTGCCAATGAAGACATACCCCAAGACTGGGTTATTTATAAAGGAAAGAGGTTTAATTGACTCACAGTTCAGCATGGCTGGGAGGCCTCAAGAAACTTAAAATCATGGTGGAACGGGAAGCAAACATGCCCTTCTTTACATGGCGGCAGGAAGGAGAAGTGCTGAGCAAAACGGGGGAAGCCCTTCATAAAACCATCAGATCTCATGAGCACTCACTATCACGAGAATAGCATGGAGGAAATCGCCTCCATGATTCAATTACCTCACACTAGGTCCCTCCCATGACACATGAGGATTATGGGAACTACAATTCAAGATGAGATTTGGGTGGGGAAACAGCCAAACCATATCAGTTACAATTTTTAAAGAAATTTTTAAATAAAAGTTAAATACCCAGATATTAATACCACATATGTTTCACTCCAAACCTATATATATTTTAAAATGTATAGCATACTGTATAAAAGCTTAGGCAGTGCAGTCAAATAGAACTGGATTTAAATTCAGGATTGACCTCTTGTTATCTGAGTCCATGGGTAAAATAACTGACACCATTAAGCCTCAGTTATTCATTCACAAAATGGATAAATAACAATACCTCATAACATTCTTGTAATTAAAAGAGATAATGTGTATGTCTCTCAATTACTGATACATAATAGACACTTTATAGATGTTAGCTGCCAGTGATGTTATAATTACTATGTATTATTATCTTCTTGTGGGGAAAACTTTTTTCTTGAAAAGTCCTTAGTGTCCTATAAAATTGGAACTTCCATCAATACTTTTCTTCCCTTTTTTGGGGAGAAAACTGCTCCATAGGCTAAAAATTGATTCATCTTGTAGAACTAAGGCCATGATATAGTAACAATCCACCCACCAAACCTCAGAGGTATAAAACATCAAGGATTAATTTCTTACCCATCTTAACTGACTGTTGCAGATCAGCTCTTTTCATGTTTCCTGCTCTTAGAGACTCAGGTTGATTTAGTAACTACCATCTCTTTGGCAGAGAGTAAGAAATCTTCCTTCAAGGAATAATACAAAACGCCTTTTCTAACACACCACTGGCCAAAGCAAACAACAGGGCCATGGATGCAGAAAAAATGCAAGTCCACCACATGCCAAATGCAAAATAAAACATATTTGATAAACATTCCTGATGACCACTGCTATAGTTTGGATGTGTCTCCCACAAAACATGTGTTGAAAATTCAATCTTCATTGCAACAGCTTTGGGAGATGGGGCCTAATGAGAGGTGATTAGGCATGAGGGCAAAATAAATGAATTTATGCCATTATTTTAGGAGTAGGTTTCTTATGAAAGGATGAGTTTGGCCCTCTTTTGCCTTTCTATCTCTCATCCTGTCTGCCCTTCCAACACTCGATGACAAAGCAAGAAAGCTCTTGCTAGATGCTGGCACCTCTATCTTAGACTTCCCAGCCTCCAGAACTGTGAGCCAATAATACACTTCTGCTCTTTATAAATTCCCAGTCTCAGGTACTCTGTTACAGCAGCACAAAATAGAGAAAGGTGAAAATTGGTACTGCAAAGTGGGGCTGTCCTATAACAAACAACTGAAAATATAGGAGCAGCTTTGGAATTGGGTAATGGGCAGAGGATAGAAAAATTTAGAAGCGCAAGCTAGGAAAGACCAAGATTACCATAAATGTAGGATTATGGGTGATTCTGGTGAGGGCTTAGAAGAAGAGCTGTAGGGAGTCTGAAACTTCTTAGAGATTACTTAAGTGGTTGTAATCAAAACATTTATTAAAATATGGACAGTAAAGGCAATTCTGATAAGGTCTGAGACACAGATGAGGCACAAGGTATTGGAAACTTGAGTGAAGGACATCCTTGTTATAAAATGGTGAAGAATTTGGCTGAATGCTGTCCACGTCTGATGGCTTTGTGGAAGGCAGAATTTAAGAGTGATGAACGAGGATATCTGATAGAAGAAAGAGCTAAGCAGCAAGGCCTTCTGGGTGTTCTATACTTCTTTTAACTACATATAGTAAAATGAGAGAAGAAAAAGATGATTTAAAGATGAAGTTTATAATTGAAAGGGAAATATAATTTAGGGATTTGAGAGATTCTCAGACTGGCCCTGTGAAAATGAAACGGCATTTTCAGAAGAAGAAACAGTGTGGCCAAGGACTGTTTGATAAGGCAATTAATCTAGATAGAACAAAGCCAGAGGCTATTCATTAGGACAATGGGAGAATGACCCCAAAGGCACTTTGGAGATCACCAGTGCTGTCCCTACTATCAAAGGCCCAGAGTGCCAAGGCCTGTGAGAAGGAAATGTATCAAAAGAGAGAACTAGTGTGGTAGGAATTATTAAGAAATTATTTTAGGCAGATAGAAAGAAAAAGGGGCCCTTGGAAAGTTTTTATTTCTTTTTAAAGCAGCTCCAGAAACGTTTCTTGTCTAGCAGAAAAGCCCTGGCTCTTAGACTCCGGCTGGAAACCTTTGATATTCAAATGCCGACCATTAGAAACTAGGTCCACCCAACATGGTGACTCCCACCGTTGTCCTTTTGCCCTTGCCTGGCAACATGGCTGCCCCCACATATCGCCAAGCATATAGAACATCATGGAGCCCTGAATTTGCATATTCAAGGCTAGGGTGGGAGGGACAGTTTTTTCACGGGCTACATGAATGATATGCCTGGTCAAACCAATCCCCCGAGCCATATGCAAATCAGACACCACTTTCTCCAGCCTCTACATATACCTGGCTGGTTTCTGCCACACCTGGGGTCTCTGTTCTCAGCTTTGGAGCTCCCCTCCCTCTGTCTCTGTGAAGGGGAGCTTCTTCCTCCTTCTTTTCCTTTCTTTCTTGCCTATTAAACTCTCCACTCCTTAAAACCACTCCACATGTGTCAGTGTTGTTTTTTCCAATTTGACGTGAGACGAAGAACCTGGTGTTCCTCCACTCATTGGAGCCATATCACTAGGACACCACTGGGAACTTGGGGCTTGCTGTCCAAAGCCATCTCAAGTCTCTGTTCTCCAAATTCCAGTGCAGTGCTTCTCAGCTGCCACAGCCAATGCTCAAGTGGACCTGGTGCAGCTTTGCCAGCCACTGCATAAGGTACAAGCCATAAAGCCTGGCAGTGTCCACGTGGTACTAATTCTGCAGAAGCATAGAATGCAAGAGCTGTGCAGGCATGGCTTCCTCTACCTAGATTTTAAAGGATGTTCCAGATAGCCTGGGGATGCAGGCAGAGACTTGTTACAAGGGTAAAGCTGCTGCAGAAAGCCTCTGCTAAAACAGTGCCCAGCAGAACTGTGGGGTACAAGCCACCACAGAATCCCCACTAAGGCAATGCCTGGTGGAGTCATGAGAACAAGTTAAGCTCAGACAGGTCCCAATAAAGACAATGTCTAATGGAGCCATGGGAGTGGGGCCACCCCCAAGAACTCAGAACTATAGATCTACCAGTATGCAGTGTTGGACTGGGAGAGATGCAGGCACAATACTACAACATGTGAGAGCTGCTGCATGGGCTGAGCCCAGCTGAGACATAAAGGCAGGACTGCCCACAACTTTGGGAGCCCAACCCCCACCCCACTGTGCCATGGAGTCTAAGAATATTATTCTAAAGCCCTAAGATTTAATGTTGTTACTTGGGACTAGTTATCCCTTTCTTCTTGCCTATTTCTCCCTTTTGAAATGGGATTGTCTTTCCTATACCTGTCCCGCCATTGTCATTTGGGAGTGATAACTTGTTTTGATTTTACAGGCTCACAAGAGGAGGAGAATTTGCCTCGGGGTGAATTGTGCCTTGAATCTCACCTATATCTGATTTAGATGACACTCTGGACTTTGGACTTTTGAGATGGTGCTGGAATAAAATAGGACTTTGAATTTATTGGAATGCAATTAGTGTATTTTGTACATAAGAAAGACGTGAATTTTAGGGGCCGGGGCAGAAGGCTATGGTTTGAATGTGTCCCCAAAAAAGCATGCGTTGGAAACTTAATCCCCAATGCAACTGTGTTGGGAGGTGGCGCCAAATGAGAGGTGATAAGGCCACAAGGGCAAAGTAAATTAATGCTATTGTTGGAGTGGGTTTGTTATCATGGTACCTAGTTCCTTATGGAAAGGTGAGTTTGGCCCCCTTTGCCTCTCTCACTCTTTCTTTTTGCCCTTCTCCAATGACATGACATAGAAAGTAGGCCCTCACCAGAGGCCAGCAGCTTGATCTTGGATTTCCCAGCTTCCAGAACCATGAGTTAATAAATTTCTGTTCCCTAAAACTGGATGACATACTCTGATTTATACCCTGTGGTATTCTGTTATAGCAGCACCAACAAGACTATGAAAACCATGGTGTAACTTGCATTGGCCCATAGATTTTACTGAGTAAGTGTAATGTATTCGAGTTTGCTCTTCTCCTCCTTACAATAAAATACCTGGAGAGTCCCTGCCTCTGCATAAGAAGGCATCTGGGTTTACTTATCTGCTATGCCATTGCCTGAATGACTAACTCAATTCAGAAGAGAAAGGAATCAAGTCTAAGGTTTATTATCTAATTCAGCTTTATAAATAACAAAGCATATGTTTTGATCCCTATGTAACTCCAAAGACTATTTCTCCATTTGTTAAAAGTCTGATGGTAAAAAGACTAATAATTAATAAATGGGATCCTTCAAAAATCCCAGCATTTAAGGGAACACATCATTCTTGGTATATTTTGCCAAAAATTAATAACATGAATTACCAGAAAAATCAGACAAATTGAAAATATTTTACCAAATTCTTAGCCAATCAGAAGTATAAAAGTCATGAAAGACAAAGGAAGATGGAAGATCTTTTCCAGATTAAAAGAGCCTAAAAGTACATGAAAACTAAATGAAACTGGAATTCAGAATTGTATCCTGGTCTAAATAAAGAAAGAAAGAGAAAGCAGGGGGGAGAGAGAGGGAAAGGGGGGTAGAGAGAGAGAGAGAGAGAGAAAGAATGAATGAACATGGATAATTAGCAAAATTTGAAATAGAATTGAATAAATGTTAATTTCCTAGATTCAATAATTGTGTTTATATAAAATGTTACCATTTGGAAAAGCTGAGTAAAGAGTATTTGAGAATTGGGAACTCTTTGTTCTTTTTTTTTTTTTTTCCCAGAATAATCAGATAAATGGATTTTCACTCAATATATTTTAAACAAAGATTTTGTGCAACTTATACTATTATAATAATAAATTGATAGTTTGAAGCAAGAAAATAATACAAAGAAAAATTCATTTCCAAATGCAAAGCAGTATCTTTGCTCAGGGGTGATTCACATTTATGTGTAATTTTGCATTTTCAAAAAGATGATTGTTACAATCAGTTATATCGCCACTTAGTTATGTCTAAGTTGTATCAGTTAAACATATGTTCCTTTAGAAAATTCTATTTAATATTATTATTTCCTTCAGTGATTTTCTCCAAACAGTGATAGAAGTACTTCTCAATGGACAGAATACACAAAACTGTTTTTGACTACATCTCGATCATACTGACACCTACAATAAAGGCTTGACTCCAAGGGTGCCCAGCTCTAATTTGTGAAGTATGTCCTGTTTGGAAAGTAACAATGAGGTTGTAAGTAGCAACAGTACTTACTCATTATCAAAAAATAACAATTTTAGGTATCTTTGTTTTGGATTTCTGTAATTTAAGTCATCCAGTTTCTTCAGAGTCTCCACTCACTCCCTTTGACCAGCAATCAACTGTGACCATTCCAAAATCTGAATTCTGACTTTCAGGACAATCCTTCTTAAAATATTCCACAGAGCCACAAAGTTTGCAACCACCACCATAAGCACAGAGTCCTTTGGGATGATCAGGACAAGATCTGGACAGCTGTCTCATTTCCCCACAAACAAACATTTCGCAAAAGGAAATTAATTAAGAGCCAGGGCTACTTTAGCCCTGCCCTTGATCATTTTGCGCTCCACGGACCCAGACCCAGAACACGTTCCAGTGCCCGTATGTTGATTTTCTAGGGCAACTGGGCAATCTGCAGTTGTATGACCAGGTTTTCTGCAATGGAAACATACTATTGTCTTTCTCTTTGCTGCTTGTCATTCATTGTTTTCCTTCCCATAAGACTGTCTTTCTTTAAAGCAACTGCAATTTATTCCCTTACTGCCTGATCGTTGCTATCATCTCCCCATCGTTGCTATCATCTCCCCATCGTAAACCATCTGTGAGTTCTGCCTTAGGTATTCCATGAATCCATTCACATCTCCACTTAGGTACTCTTTTTTTTTCTGTTTTGCTTGTGGTGCGTCATTTTGAAGGGAGAGCCTATTGGCTTCAAGTTGTTGGTGCTTTGAAAGATTTTGTCCCTCAAAGGACTTTTTGTATCCTCCCATGATGCTGCAGGCAAGGGTCTCTTGTTATGTGTGGTGGTAACTTGTGCCCACCTGGTCACAGTTTCTTTGGAGGTACCTTATCAGTTATGCGTGAACCGCCTAGAGCAGTTAGCAAGCCAGAGAAGCCTAACCCCCTATGGCAGCAATAGCACTCAACACTAGAGGTAGGAATTTCTTGTTATATTTTTGTGACTTTTGTATAAAATTATTTCAAAATGAAAAGTTAAAAAGCAATAAATAACAAAAATAAATTTTAAAAGCTAATTCACCAATTTTGAGAAGCAAAAACTTGAACAGAAATACTCCCAATTTCCTTGCCAAAACCTTTGCTTTCCCAGAAGTATTGTGTTCATTTATTCAAGGTATTAACCATTCTCATACTACTAAATCTAAAACCCTAAGCACATTTTGTGGTTGGTCCTGTTGGATTATCCTTGCCTTTTCTCTGTTTTCTTTGCATTAGCCCTGGGCACTGGTTATATTTCTAAGGCTTCTAGTTAGGCTAAGTCAATTGTATACTACTGGAATTTATTTGCTTAAAGAAAAGCAAAATTGCATCCAAAACAAATATACTGTTTTATTACATTACGATATCAGTATATACATTAAAATGGAAATTTTCTCTTCATGACTCAAAGAAAAAATGTAATTATTATTATGATACTATTTAATCACTGTATCTGCAAATAAAATTGGGATTCCAGATTGAATCCTGGTCCAAAAAAAAATTACATGAGTAATTGACAAAATTTAAAATAAAACTGCATAAATGTTAATTCCCTAGTTTTGATAATTACATTCATATAAAATGTTATCATTTGGAAAAGGTGAGTAAAGGGTATACAGGAATTCTGTGTTCTATTTTTTTTTTTTTTTTTTTCAGAAAAATAAGCTGATAGCAAATGCGTTTTCGTTCAATATCTTAAAAATATTGTGACATTTTCTATATTGAAGATAACAACTCTTTTGATGAAACAGTCAATAATTAGAGAACCAGTGTTCCAATGAGCTTATTCAGACATTAGCAACATCAAAAGAGGATATATGGTTGATCTAGTCTTTACTTGGCCTATATGAGCATGAACAGAGACTCCTATAACACCTCACACACACACACAAATCACACACAAACTGCTTATCTATAATACACGCAATTATGTCGTTCCCATTCTTAAAACACATATCAACAAACAAAATGACGTCTCCAATTTTCATTAAGGAAAAATGTCCAAACGTCTAACTGCTGATTTCAAAGCTTTGCATAACCTGGCCCCTTTTCAGCCTCCTTCTTGTTACTTCCCACATGAATCCACCTTTTTACTTGCTATTGTCAAAACATTCCACGCTGGAACACCTCTGTCTGGTGCTGATCCCTCTCTCTAGAATTTCATACACTCTAATCAACGAAGTACCAACTAAGATTCATGTGACCTTTATATCCCTTAACTGTAACCCAGTTTTTTCTTCTGAGCTCCAGATCATGTTTTCAAATGTTTACTGGCCATCTTCAGTTTGATGTCTCACAGTTTTTCAAATTTGTACAGACCTCAAAAGAGTAATGACTTTACCTACCACCCAAACACAATTAATGAATGAAACTACATTTCAATAATTTCCTCAAGTAAGAAATAGTTTCATCCTTAATTCACCTTTCCCTTGCCACCTAATATATACTCTGCTGTATCTTTTGAATTTGTGACCAGATAATCTCTTGAGTTCAACAACTTCTTTCTAGTCTTACTCTAATGCTTTAAACAGCCACTCACTTTTATCAGCTAGATTATCATAGCAGCCTCAAACACAACCCAGCACATCCCAGTCTCCACACTACAACCAAAGTAACTTTCTAAAATGCAGATATGATAATATCATTGTCAGCTTAAACTCTTGCTCTTACAATGAAACACCAAATCCTTAACATGACTTCTAAATCCCTTTGCAATCTGGCTAATGCTTTGCTATCCAGTCTCATTTCCCTTCACTTTATCACTATTATGCTCCAAATATACAGTAGTAGTGTCAGTTCCTTAAATATACTCTACTGCCTATAGTAGGCAGTCTTTAAAACAGCCCCTAAAAATCTTTGCCTGATGCTATTCATGATGTTGTATAATTCCCTTCTTTTGAGTGTGGGTTTGACTTAGTGACACATTTCTATCAAAGAGAATGTGGCAAAGATGGGATGTCACTTCCGAAATTAAGTTACAAGAAGACTCTAGCTTCCATCTTGCTTGCCTTACTCTTTCGTTTCTTGCCCTAATGGAAGCCGGCTACTGAACTGTGAGATGCTCTATGGAGAGGCACATGTAGCAAGGAAGTAATTTTTCTGATCAACAGCCAGATGAAATAGAGAGGAACTGAGACTCTCAGCCCAACAAATGATGAAAGACTGAAACTTGGTGAAAACATTATTAATGACCTTGAATGTGAATTCCTTACCAGTCCAGCTTAGAGATGACTGCAGCCCTGCCCAGCAACTTAACTGTAGCACTGTGAGACCCTGAAGCCAGAGGATCCAGCCAGTACATGCCTGGATTCTTGATGCACGAAAACTGTCTTTGTTGTTATTGCTGTTTCTAGCCTCTAAGTATAAACATAATTTGTTACTCAACCACAGAGAGCTTATACACTGCCCATCACATCAAGGATTTACAAAACATATTCTTCCGCCTGTAACATTTTCTGTTCCTCTATTTTCCAACTCCTTTTATTTACTACTTTCTCATTCCTCCTCCCTCCACTTTCTTTCTCCACGCACCCTCCTTCTATTATTCTTTAAGTATTATTTTCTTCAGAGTGTTTTTTGTACCCCTAAGTGTGAGACAGAAGTCTTTCCTGTGTAGTTTTCCTAATATAAACATGAGCATCTCCCACTAGATCACAGATATTTTTCACAGTTATATCTCCATGCCTTATACACCCTAGTCCATAATGTATATTTATTACTTTTTTTGTCATTGTTGTTAATAAATGTGAAAAGTACTGGCAAAATCTAAAAGGGGGTTATTAGTCATAATATAATATACAAAATGAGTTGTAAGGTACAGGAAAATAAAATAACTACAAGAAATAAATCTGAAACCAATGGTTTACTGACTGATATATGCTGATAGTGCAACTTGAGGATACAAAAGAAGAAAGAAACAACAGTCTTGATTCACATATGTATGCGGTTCCCAGTTACCTAAAAGTCATTTACTTCTTCACCTCCAGAAAGCCAAAATTGGACTTGCTAATTTGTTGAGACTCTCCCATTCTGGGCATTTGGCACATCAAAACACCAGATGGTCACTTACATCAAAGAATCCTGATGATAAAAGAGATTTTTCACCTAGACCAAACCCAAAAGACTCCGTGGCATATTGATTTATTATTGGGCTCTTATTCCAAGATCAAACAGGTCCCAATGCAGCCAGATATCAATCTGAACTAGGTATCAGTTTATCAAAAAGTGAGAAGTAAGCAGATGAAGCCAGTCAAATGCCAGAACTTATATACACAATCATGAAAACTGAAGTTCCAGAAGAGAACCTCAGCTCACATTATTACAAAAACTGAAACAGCCTTTTGATTTAGTAAGACTAAAGCCACCTCCTGTGAATTACAGAGAGGTATGAGTAAAGATTTATAATCAATAAAATGAAATCAACAAAAAAAAAGTCAATAATTTACTAAATATTTACTAGTTGTGTAATAGTAAAAAGAACCAACTTTTTTTTAAACATCTACTGGACATCAAACACTGTGCCAATGCTTTGCATCCATTATCTTGTTTACTCTCTCACTGAAATTATAATAAAGTAGGCAGATAAGGAAACCAAAGGTAGGACAGTTTGGGCAACTTCACCAGCATCACAGTCTTAATAAAACTCTGAGCTGAAATTTCAAGCTACAGTTTACTTCAAAGTCAATGTTCTTTCCATTACGTGACAAAGTACTTCCCTTCTACATGAATAAAAGAAGACTGTGCCAAAATCCTGTGGATTTAGAGGGCCCATCCTGGCCTCCTTCTGGTTATGCCACGAATTGGGTGAAACCACAGCATCAAAAGAACATGCCCACTAGAGCCTGTACCCACATGTTAGTCCACATGCTAGTCTGCTAGGGCTTGAGATTTGTTTGCCCAAACATTTCTGGGTCAAATTAAGACAGATTATAGCACATTCAAAGCCCTGCAGGATGGCCAAGGGGCATTGTGGTGGAGGTGGGAGATTTTGTGTCTTGGTGGTTCCAGCAAGAGCTGCATGGAACAGGAGGAGAAGAAAGGGTGGCAAGGGTTTGGCATGACCCTCCCTGAGTCACTCCATTCTGAGAGCTCAAGAAAGCTAAGTTCATACCTGCCTTCCAGGCCAGAATAAAGGCACATATTTGTCAATGTAGGGAGACAGAATGTATTTTATTTAACAGTATATTAGCTTATTTATAACTTTTAGCTATTTAGAAATATGGTTTGTGGCCTTCCATTAGTATTCTTACCCTGAATACCATGAATATTGTGGAGGGGGACTGGGAAATAAGCATACATTGATTGATTCAGGGAAGAAAAAAATTACTTAATTCAGAAATGTCTCATGAGTAAGATTATAAACATAGTTTATATCATATTTAGAAATTCTGGTTATCCTACCTACTTCAAAAAAAAAGACTTGAAGTGATTTATATTAAAAGACTACAGGAAATCAGACAAAATAGCAAAAGGAAATTTTCAACCACAAAAACCAAAGGAGAAAGAAACATAAAAATGTAGGCTAATAGTTTATAAAGAGCCATAAAGGGCACATGCACTTAAATCGACTCTGTTCTACTTATACTGAGAATCTTGAAAGCACTTAACTTTAAGTCACACGGCTCTTACAGACCAAATAATTGTATTAAGTGAAAGTCTTTCCACACTGTGAACACTACACAGCGTGAAGCTGAAAGACTCCTCTGCGGGTTCGTTAGCATAGTTGGATACGCAGTTCTCCCCACCTGAAATTTTTTAAGAGCAAAAGAAAGGACCAGCCAAAAGAGAAACGCTCCCAGGTAAACTCCATCCTTGACAAGAAGGCTTTTCAGCCCGTGAATATCATCTTTCCTGCAATATCCACATATGGAAGTAGACCAACTAGAATCTCAACCATAAGTTGGAGAAGTACATTCTACCTCTGCAGATAACAAGAAAATAATTCATCATTATACACACTATGCTTCTAAAATGTTTTTTAAACAATTTGCATTTAATAACGTAGTTATAAGTTTTAAATTATTTTTTCTATCTTAGTAAAATGTAAAATGTCTGTTTTTGTGGACTCTGATAACAAATACTTTCTGTATTGAAGATTAGTGCCTATGGTATTGGGAGTAGAGTGAAGAATACATTTATATATTTGTTTATTCATTCATTAGAGAGTCATCGAGGGAGTGCTTACTCTCCTGAAAGGTAATGTACAAGCTTTTCTCAATAATAAATCAGGCAGAGAGTGAGGTATTAAGTAGATAACATCAGACTTGGCCCAGCAGTCTTGGAGTCTATAGTACAGTGAGAGTTAGAAAACATTTCCTATACAGAGCACATATTAAATATTTCAGGCTTTGTGAATGAAGAAGAAAATTTGAGGTTATAATGTAGGTACTTAGCCAGAGAGAAAACAAATTTCTATTAATTTTGTCTGGAGCCATACCAAAAAGCAAACAAACCAACCAGGGTTATGGGGATAGATTTAGTCTACAGCTATTGTGTGATGACACCTCGTATAAGTGTGTAGTCATCCTTCACCAGTAATTCTGGACTTTGTGTGAATTAGCAGAAGCTGGGCCATAATTTAATTTTATCAAGATGTTTTCACCCACCCATTTATTCATTCACTCATTCATTCATCAAATATTTTGTAACCTTTCACATTGTGCCAGAATATATAAAGCTTAACTTTTAGTGCATCCTAACACTCTATTTTATTTTCATAATTACCCATTTAATAAGTATAATATGAAAAAAAATTACACACACATTGTCCCAAGTACACCATGCACTGTAACACCGAGAAAGTATGAGCTTCAATTTAAAGATGAGGAAACTTAGAGACAATTTAAGAATAAGGGTGTCTTAAAAACATTCTCATTGACACTAAAAATGTGGTTTTTTGTTGGTTGTTTGTTTTGGAGTCTCACTCTGTCACCCAGGCTGGAGTGCAGTGGTGTGATCTCGGCTCACTGCAAGCTCTGCCTTCCGGGTTCACACCATTCTCCCTCCTCAGCCTCCCAAGCAGCTGGGACTACAGGTGCCTGCTACCATGCCTGACTAATTTTGTTTTTTTATTTTTAGTAGAGACGGGGTTTCACCGTTTAGCCAGTATGGTCTCAGCTAGTCTCAATCTCCTGACCTTGTGATCCACAGGCCTCAACCTCCCAAAGTGCTGGGATTACAGGCGTGAGCCAGCACGCCCAGCCAGTTAAAAATATGTTTTAAGCACAGCCTTGGGTGGTCTTTCTTGGTCTCTTCAGCAGACAAGAGGAATGCAATGGGAGGACCACAACTTTTATTCAAACATCCAGTTAGTCATTAATCCATTTATTCATCCATTTCTTCATTCGTATTTATTGAGACTCTACTATATATTTAGCACTGAGTATAAGATATATACCTAGCCACAGAAAACAGAGTATTTAGTGACTTAGCAATTGATGCCTATCTCTCCTGAAAGGTAATGTATAAGCTTTTCTCAAGAAAAGGCTTGAGAAAAAGAATAACTTGAGTACTTGGGATTTGGCTGGTCATCGCTTTCTCCCTGGACCTGCTTATATACGCAGGTGAGAAGGTCACATCACCACACCCACACACACCCAACCCCTCCCTTGTACATAAAATATCTGAAAAACAGTCATGATGCAGTGCCATCAGCACCAATATCTATCTTTAGTTTCAATGTCCTGCTACACAGAATGATTTTAAATTACCCATTCACATTCAATTTCAAGTCAAGCAATTCCCTGAAATAAATCTGTAACAGCTCTGGTCCCACTCAGCTCCTGTGGGCTCTTGCTGTAGGCTTAGCACATTGGAAAATATTTCTCGCACAGATTGGAGAAAAACAACTTGGAAATGTTCTCTTTTCTAAAATGCATGAGATAATCAGCATAAAAGCTGATTGGTAATAAAAATCATCCTTTATTTGTAGTTGTCTAGATGCCATATCACATCTTAATACTTTATATGCATTACCACACATAAATCCTCACAGCCTCTTTATGATGAAGTTAGGCTATTATTTTCATATTACAGATGAAAAAATGGAATCTTTCAAGCTTAAGTTGCTTCCTTTATAGTGGATAGTGGAGGAAAGATTCAAACAAGCATTCTAAATCTAGGAGCCTGAATTTTAGTACTTCACTATAGAGCTGTTTGCTTAGTTGCTGCTCTAGGAAATATTCTTGCCCCTGAAGGAAATAGAAAAAGAAAAGTGTGGCAACAGCTTAAGTAAACTAATCATGCAGAAAGAAAAATGCCAAGCTTCTAATGTTGATCACCTGGGACAGATGGGTAATGATAATTGCCATCTTTACATATCTTTGTATTGTACTGGTTTTCCTGTTATAACAGGATGTATTAACTTTGTAATTTAAAAAACAGAAAAACTGAGAACAGAGATTTTTTTTAAAAAAAGGACAAAGAGAGGGAAAGAGAAGAAATGAACAAAGAAATGAAGGAAAGAAGACTAATAATAGGATTAAGCATGTTAGAAATTTCAATATTGATAATGACGTATAGTTGGGAAAAAATTATAGAAAACAGCTATAGATTGAATTGAATAAAGGAATGAATAAATGACTTTCAGGCTTATGGATTAATTTTTTCTTGATAAAAGACAAAATATCAAGATTTTGGAATTTACCTAATTACATTTGTGGAAAGAATCAAACTGGTTTGGAGAGTTCTTATTTCCATCCCCTAGCCTATAATCCCCTTAGGTCATTACTCTCACTGTATGTTCCCTAGAAATATCCAAGAGCCTCGTCACAAGATTGGACCATCCAGCTAAAGCTACAGGTGAAGCACTTCACTCTGCCACACTGTTTATCTTCCCTCTATCCCAAGAGACACACATGATAGGAGGAACCCTTGACAGTTACCAACAAAATTCAACCTCTTATCTTCACTGAAGCTTCTTTCTTTCTTATTCCAGGAAAGGCATATGACTGCCTCATTCTTAAAGATGTCCACTGATGAGAAATAATAACTTTTTTTATTCTTATATCCTAGGTCCCATCTATGTTCACAGTCTGAAATGTATTAATTACTTCTAACCTCAAGAATTATGATAGCCATTTAAATTCATTATTATGATAAAAGCACATAGTGGACAAATGATTACTACCCTCTGCACAATTAGTCAGTTTATATTCATATTCATTTATATTCATTAAGCCATAAGCAGGTATTGGTTAAGTGTGAAACCACATGACAAATAGTATGCCTGTGTGGTATTATACTAATTTGGGAAGTAAATTCTAATTACTTACATCCAGTATGAGAAACTAAATTTCCAACTATTGCTTTGCTATTTCAAGCTCATTCAAACCTCCATCAGAAACTTCATACTTGGCTCCTACTGATAGTCCCCTGGGTTTGTCATTTCATAGGATCTACCTATATAGTTACTAATGCATTCAGAGCAGCAGTTTTCAACCCTAGTGTACATTAGAATTACAAGGGGATCTTTTAAAAAATTGCTGTTTTGGCCTTACCCCAGATAAACTCAATCAAAACCGCTGAGGTATGCATGGGGCTTGAATGTCACTGTTTTTTTGAACATCACAAGGTGCTTCTAATATAGAATCAGAACTGGGAAAGGATGAGTTAGACATTTAAGTGGGAAGCAAAGTCTAAGGATAGAATCTTTAGGGGGAAATGATCTGGGTAGGAGCTTTTCTTATCTATACCCTTGGATTATAAGGCAAAGAAAAACATTCCTTATTCCTCATTATTCTAAACGGAGATTTGGAGCTTGTTCAAAAACACTTGGATAATAGATGGAAAGTTAAAATATATGTCAAGTCAAAATCCTCAAAATATTAGATATTAGTTTTAGTGAATTTTGGGCACATTTCAACTGGCCTGCCAACTTTCAAGTCCTCTGCAATTATTATCCAAAATGTACTTGAAACAAGCTTAATTTATTCTTTTATCTTCTCTTTGATGTAACTATAGATGGAAGTAGAACGCAATGTAATTGTGTTATTTCAGACAATAAAACAAATCATCTACCACAGAGAAGTAATCATGCCATTTAAATTTGTCATGGTTGCCTGAACACCTGTCATCTTTTATTTTTAGGGCCTGACTATATTCCCCTAATAATTCTAGTTGAAAAAGAATCATCAACACAGCAAAATAAATATTTCTTCAGGAAAATTACATGCAAGTGAAGCATCTAATCAACATGTAAGTACAGCATAGGATGGTGTGAAAGTTTCTAGGGAACACTCACATTCAAGAGAAATCAGCTTCATTCAGTGTGTGTGTGTGTTTTTTTTTTTTTTTAACAAAAAGGAAGCTATCTTAAAGCTCATTGACTATATTTCTTTTGATGAGATTCTTGTTAATTCACTCAGATACAATTAAAAATACTGAAGGTGGTAATAAATTCTGCAACCAAAGAAGTACTGAAGGAATCTCAAAGACAATATTTTAAGTGATAGGGGAGTGTCTAATGTGAAATTTTACTTACTCATAAATACCATGCTGTTTTAGCTTATAATTACAAACAAGCAGTGTAGCCAGTGGAAGGAAGGTATCCATTTTTTTTTTTCTTTCTTTGAGACGGAGTCTCGCTCTGTCGCCAGGCTGGAGTGCAATGGTGTGATCTCGGCTCACTGCAACCTCCACCTTCTGGGTTCAAGCAATACTGCCTCAGCCTCTTGAGTAGCTGGGATTACAGGCATGCACCACCACGCCCAGTTAATCTTTGTATTTTTAGTAGAGACGGGATTTCACTATGTTGCCCAGGATGGTCTTGATCGCCTGATATCGTGATCTGCCTGCCTCGGCCTCCCAAAGTGTTGGGATTACAGGCATGAGCCACCATGCCCAGCTGAAGAAGGGTATTCTTAAAGAATGCAGATATGGGACTTCAAAGCCCAACTATTACAAATCATTTAATAATATGTTAATAATTGCTCATAATTGACAGAGACTAGTTTCCATCTTCTACACAAAGCGTTGGCAAATTTTCTATAAAAAGTCAAATAGTAAATATTTTAGACTTTTTTTCTTTTTTCGAGACAGAGTCTTGCTCTGTGGCCCAGGCTGGAGTGCAGTGGTGCGATCTTGGCTCACTGCAGCCTGCACCTCCGGGGTGCCAGCAATTCTCCTGCCTCAGCCTCCCAGGTAGCTGAGATTACAGGCATGCTCCACCACACCTGGCTAATTTTTGTATTTTCAGTAGAGATAGAGTTTCACCATGTTTTTCAGGCTGGTCTCCAACTCCTGAACTCAGGTGGTCCACCCACCTTGGCCTCCCAAAGTGCTAGGATTACAGGCATGAGCCACCATGCCCAGCCTATTTTAGACTTTTTGAAGCATACAATCTCAGTTGCAACTACTCAACTCTGTCATTATAGCATTAAAGCAACCATAGACACTGCATAAACAAATGGGCATGGCTGTGTTCCAATAAATTTATTTACTAGCAGTGGTCTTTGGTAGGCAGCTAATAGTTTGTAAACCCCTAATTTAATTAAATTGTTTAAAAGTGAAATTCTGCCTCTTGAAACCTGACTCTTAAAAAGTGGTTTCAGGGAAAAGATGAGTAAACACTAGGAGCCTGAAGGCATGTAACAAAAACATCTAAGTTTTGCAAAAGTTTTCTTTTAAATGGATTAACGTGATTCTGGTGTATTTACTAAGTGACGCATGCATTTTACTTTAACATTTATTGCATCTTTACGTGAGACCCCTTTATGTTTTAGAATAATGTAATTCCTTTTTCCATTTCTCAAGACCCCCACAAGGTAAAGGAAAAAAAAGTGAACTGAAAACTCTGTAAACTGCATCATATTAGACATTTTCTAAGAGTCTTCACACTAAAAAACATACCACTTGGCAGAAATATGATTGAGGCCAGGAGGTGAAATCCCAAGACCACATATTAACTCAGCTCTGTTTACTAAGACAGTCATTAGAAATATGTGAACAGAGGAGAAATTGGCATCAACGTTGCAAGAATTATAAACTCTGCTTTTTACATTTATTCTTTTTACATTCATAATGGATTTTCAGGGCTACATTGTCAAGGTCTCTATTTCAGGTCACTGAAAGGATTCTGCAACTCTGAGACACATTTTCCAAGACACAGAAATAGTTTAGGATCAGACTGTGTGTGTGTGTATGTGTGTGTGTGTGTGTGTGTGTGTGTGTGTGTGTGTGTGATTAACCTTTGTAGAGCATGTTCTCTTTTATGGACCTAAGAAAGGATGTGTGAAATTATGTTACGGATTTATTAACGGCTCTTTTCAGTTCTTTAAGAGACATTTATTAAACAGGATTTAATAAAAGGGTTGTTTTATGTAAGTAGAATGTATGATAGAGTTTCTATTTCTCAAGAATAGGCATTGGAGAAGGGAAATAAAAGAATATGTACCTCTGGTCCTCATTTTCCTACCTTGGGTGGAATCTGCAGACTCATTCTTTATTTTTCTCATAGTGCTTAGTCTTAATATTGAGGACAGTCGGAAAAGTTGAGGAATGTAAACTCAAATTTATAAAGCTAAGAGTGGTCTGAGCTGAGAATTCAATAAATGTTAGCTATAATAATGTTATTAATATCATAATGAATAATAAGTATTATTACCAATGATGTAGATATACAAATGACATATTGAGAAACAACTGTTTCTTTCAGAACAAAAGGGAAACTATATTAATGAATAATGTGATTTTAAAGTCAGTACCCTTATAACTTTGATTATTTTGAATCTGTCAGAAGCAGGTGGAAAAATTAATAAACAATAAAGAGCATATAACTGGGAGTTTTAAACTATGAAACTACTAGAAGAGAAAAACTATTCTCCTACACATTCACTAAGAAATTTTTATAAAATGTGTGTTGGGCAGTAGCAAAAGAAAGGAGACTATAAATGTGGAACAAGTACACATGGATTTATGTCCACACATGTATATAATCACGAAAATATTAAAGTCATGCAGTTTAAAAGAAGTCAAAAATTTTAATGGAAATTTGGAACCCAAAAATAAAGGCTAAAATATTGTATCTAGTGTCTTGAGTGGCTACTAAATTAGTAAAAATATTTAAAATGGAAAAGGTGAATAGTTGGAGTTAGAAAAGAGGTAATGGTTTGATGATGTTCTACCCCTTTCCCGGCTGTTCCTGTTTCAAAATGACAAACAGGCAAACTTAGTAGGGTGTGGATTGATTCAAGGAAGGTATGGCTGTGTAAAGACAGAATCTGTCAAAATGCTTAAAGGCAGCACGTGAATATTTTAAAGTACAATATTTTCCATAGCCGTGGGACAGCTGAACAAAAGTTTCCAGGTATAAAATAAAAAACTATAAAAATAATTTTTCGGCAAACATGTTTGCATTTATGTTTTTAGGACCCAAGTAAAGGTAAAAGCAAAAACTATATATATTTGATTCACTGGATACAAACAGACATAGCATAGGTGCTTACCAAATTCTAAGTAACCAATCAAAATATAGAAACTCTAGATTATAAACTCCAGAAAGAAAACCTATCTAAATTCTAATACTAAATTTTCCATATTGTAACATACTCAGAAGGCATGTAATGAATGATGAGAGTCTTCCTCCCGGATACTGTGCTAGTAAACATCCAATCAAAGAACCAGAAAGAAACTGATAGAGAATCCAAACCATTTAGTGTTAGACTTACAGATTGAAAGACTGTGATTTTAAGATTCTGTGTGTGACGAAAAACTTCTTATTCTTTTTTTTTTTTTTTTTTTTGAGACGGAGTCTTGCACTGTTGCCCAGGCTGGAGTGCAGTGGTACAATCTTGGCTCACTGCAAGCTCCGCCTCCCGGGTTCACGCCATTCTCCTGCCTCAGCCTCTGGAGTAGCTGGGACTACAGGCGCCCACCACCACACCCGGCTAATTTTTTGTACTTTTTTAGTAGAGACGGGGTTTCACTGTGTTAGCCAGGATGGTCTCCATCTCCGGACCTCGTGATCCGCCCACCTCGACCTCCCAAAGTGCTGGGATTACAGGCGTGAGCCACTGTGCCCGGCCAAAATCATATTCTTTTTTGCCTTTCCTGTGTCCCCCACCCAATTCTGACATTTATTATGTTGATCCAGGTGAGATTACCTGCTCATGACTCTATTTTTTTTCATTGCTTAATGATTAGCATAGACATGTTTCTCTCTGTCCTGCACAACAAGCAAGATAAACCCAGTCATCATGACCCAGCAGAAGGTTCCAGCTCTCTTTCCATAAATGTTTTCAAAATGTTACTTATTAATACATAAGTAAATTTATTATTGTGTAATAAATATATACTGCTATGTTTTGCAATGCCAGCATAAGCAGACAGCTTGTGAATAATATTTTATAAAGAAAATTAGAAATCATGGTCAATTACTTACCAACTTTAATACTATCTTTTTGAAACAAATACCAAAGCATTTTAAAAGGCTTTCCAAGCCTTGGATTAATAACATACATGATGTCACCTAATATTGGGTGACAGGCCCCTGAGATGGCAGAGGTGTATTACTTCACTTCTTGTGTGTGCCTTGGTGTTCACAACAAGATGGTTGCCTGTAATCTGGTCTCCAGAGGTTTTATTTATTCGTACTGCAGCATCCACTACTTTCCTTGAATTTCTCTTCTGTGGTCTAATCACAAATATAAAAGCCTGCATTCCTTCTATTCATTATATTTCTTATCTGACTGCATTGGAAAACTGCAACTGTACTCTTTTTCTCTGAGATATTGTAACATCATTTAATAAGTTATTCCGTAGATGATAACCTAACTTCATTCTCATAGTGGACTTTGTAATTATTTTGAATTTCATGTTTCATTGTTCTTCCATTAAACGCAATTTGTACTTTATATTAAGGGATGAAAGAACCTCGTAAAATGATTAGTTAGCTATTTAGGAAACTTATCAAAGGCACTTGTTTTCTATTTTTTCAAGTCACAATAAACCAGTCCGAATGTAGATATCATGAGTCCGTGATTCTTCAGAAAATTCTCTTTATTGCATACTAATTGTGGGCTGCTTGTGTGATATAGGTCAGAAAATACAAAGTTGCTATATATATATATATTTTTTTTTTTTAAATTTAAGGCATCTTCTTCTTTCTTCAATCCCAGCTAGAGATTTATAACTTCACTGATTTCTCATTGAATTCTCATAAATTAATCATTTTGATATGAATTTTGGTTCACATCTATTTTTCTTCTCCATGACTACCTTATTGCCTATAAAGTCTAAGTTCCTTAGACTGCAACTTCACTTGTCCTATATCTTCTTCTAATTAACATCAATCACCACTAATTTCTCTAATTCCACTACTTTAAAAGAAGCTTCCCAGACTAGATGAAATTCCCTTTCTTTGCAGTATCACTTACCCTGCAATTTTACCTTAGAGCAGTTAACACAGCTGCAATTAATTATCTGTATCACTTGTTTTCTCTTTCTGGCCTGGGATTCATATTTAAAGAGATAACCTCAGGGCCTAGCATAGGACCTTACCTACAGTAAAAACAACAAATATTTCTTTAGTGGCTGTTTAATTAATGTTTTTCTCTTCCTCTTCACACTTATGAAATGTTATTTCTCACAGTTCTTTCTTTTCCCACTGAAATAGCTGTATTGCATAGTAGGTGATTTCACCCACTCTATTAGTTTTCACTACAAATTTTATATTGATGACTGTGAGATGAATATTACCAGCCCAGGAAAGCTTCCTATTGGACAACTCTAGTAGAATTTCCCATAGGTATCCAAACTCCATATAATTAAAATTTGGCTTTACCTTCTGAGACAGCCTGTGGGAGAGGGTCCGTGGAGAAACTCCAACCAGCTTGCCCACTGAGGTCGAACCTAGGGAAGGTCATGACGTTTGCAGCAGGGAGGAGCCTGAGCCTGGCACCTCCTCTTCCTATGTGGAACGTGGGATTCTAACCCTCTGGCCGGAAGTGGTCTAGGGGAGGGACTCTGGCCTTGAGAGAGTACCTGTTTCCCTCTTTTTTTTTTTTTTTTTTATCCTTTTCACCCAGTAAAACTCTTCTTTACTCATCCTTTAAACTGGTCTGCGAGCCTGAATTTTCATGGCCATGAGATGGACAAGAACCCCATCTTTAGATGAACTAAGGAAAAGTCGTGCAACATTGTTGCAGCAAAGTGGAGGCTCCAGAAGCCCTGAGTGAAATGGGGACTCAAAGCTTCTCACTGTTGCTTCTCAGCCTTTTAATCTTCAGACTTCTGAGTGTGGGGGAAGCCACGCCTCCACCCCGCGTAGCTCCCTGGCCTTTTCATGGCCTTTTCCTTCCTTTTTTGGGGCCCACCGGTAAGCAGCAGCTCCTTCCGCTCCCCGCTCCCTGCTGGGGTGGGGACCCATGGCCCAGGGGTCCTGCACAGCTGGCTGGCTGGTTCCCAGCCACTGTGGGCTGCCCCAGCCTTCCCCTTCCCTGTCCAAGGGGTTTAACTCTATCAGACAGTAATTAAGCTTAAACTTGTCTCCCTGGTGGAGGAACCACTTGCATATGAATAAGAGGTTGCATTTTCAAACTGTTTCTTTTCTTTCCCCTTCGCTACCCTGTCAGCAAGTTAACTTTTAAAGCTTTTTTTTTCTTTTAGAAGATGTTTTACTAGGCTAGCGCCCACCCTCCAACCCCCCAACTATCACTGTATTCGCTGCAAAGTTTTCGTGGTGAAATCAAGCTTCCATCTTGTTTTACGTCCTGAGGGCATGGCTGGTAACTGCTTGGCAAGGCTTAGTTCAGCAATACAGCCTGAGGGGATGAGCCCTCCCAGCTTAGATGTCTGCATGTTTGTTTTCCTAGCCCTGTTTCTTTTTTCTTTCCTTTTTTTTTTTTTTTTTTTTTTTTGAGATGGAGTTTCACTCTGTTGCCAAGGCTGGAGTGCAGTGGTGCAATCTCCGCTCACTGCCACCTCCACCTCCCGGGTTCAAGCAATTCTCCTGCCTCAGCCTCCCAAGTAGCTGGGATTACAGGCGCCTGCCACCATGCTCAGATAATTTTCATATTTTTAATAGAGACAGGGTTTCACCATGTTGGCCGGGCTGGTCTTGAACTCCTAACCTTAGGTGATATGCCAGCCTTGGCCTCCCAAAGAGCTGGGATTAACAGGCATGAGCTACTGCGCCTGGTCCCCAGCCCTGTCTCTTAAAGCGCCCCACCCAGCGACTGGGTTTTTTTCTGCCTATGTGTGTACTGTGTGTAATGTCTGTCAAAAGAGCTCTAATTAATTTGGCCTAAAGAAAGATAAGCACTTGGATCTAATATTTTTTAAAGGGATGATAAAATCTGTGGTAACTTTCAGTTCCTGTGACTTTAATCTTTCAGAAATAAAAACAGCCCTAAAAACTATTAGTAAAATGCAGATCACATGCAAAGTTTGCTAAGTATTTTCAGGTTACAAACTGCTTTTTGGGTTTTGAGAACTATTTGACTTGGCGGCTTCGTAATTAGTAAGGCCTGGGGACAGATGGAACTAACCACACTTAACTAAGAAGGCAAACCTTGGCTGCAATTAGCACACAAAGCAACTTACCAAGTTTTACCTTAAAGTTAAAATTGCTAGGAGTTCACTGAAAACTCCTAGAGATAGATTTACATGCAAGGTGTGTAAAAACAGTAAAATGTGTTTTTTAGTAAAAGGTTATAAGGAGGCATGGAAATGTAAACTAAAAGGATTGTTTTAAGTTAAAATAGGAAAAAGCTGAAGGTTCAAAGAAGTGGTGGAAGAATGGTGGAAATGAATCTTCCAGAAGAGGCTGTGTAAGCATATTGACTAAATTCAGTAAAAGGTATTTATAGTTTTTCTGTAAATTGAGCATTGAAATAAAAGCATAATAAGGTTTTCCTAAGGTGCTAATCCACTTTTTAGCAAAATTTGCAAAGGGTTATAAAAGGTTTTTGCTTCTTTAAAATTTCTGAGTCATTTTGGAAAAATAACTTACGGTAATCTGGAATTCTATTTCATAATATCAAGTGTTTTAAACCTATAACATTTAACAGCCTTTCCAAAGTCAAACTTCAGCTTCAAAATTGTCTCTCCTGGCTGTGCGTGGTGGCTCACGCCTGTAACCCCAGCACTTTGGGAGGCCAAGGCGGGCAGATCACGAGGTCAGGAGATGAGACCATCCTGGCTAACACGGTGAAACCCCGTCTCTACTCAAAATGCAAAAAATTAGCCAGGCATGGTGGCGGGCACCTGTAGTCCCAGCAGCTCGGGAGGCTGAGGCAGGAGAATGGCGTGAACCCGGGAGGCAAAGCTTGCAGTAAGCCGAGATCACGCTACTGCACTCCAGCCTGGGAGACAGAGCGAGACTCTGTCTCAAAAAAAAAAAAAAAAAAAAGTCTTTCCTGACACGTGGCTTTTCGAATACTTCAGGGGGCCCCTGAAATGTCCAGAGAAGAGAGGGAGACAGGATTATTTGACGTGTTTAGGTACATGGTCTTGCCAAAATAATGCTCAATCTTCTTTAGGTTATATCTTGGGGAATAATGATAACATATGTTCCCAAACTGTGTAGTATTTCTAAAATTCTAATGTCTAAGTATATGCCATCAATCATAATTAAGGTTGTTATGTTAAATTATTGTAAACCACGGAGATAACCAAACTTATTTGTCAATCCTATTTCTAACTGTAACTACCCTGGACATTTTGCTATTCACAGACAATTGTTGTTTGGTTTTAATCCTTTTCAAAAAATGGTTTATAATAGGCTATAAGACTCTGACCACAGACTGTGTGGCTTAAACAACAAATTATTTGCCCGTAGAGCTGGAGGCTAAAAGTTCAAGGCCAAGGTGCTGGCAGCATTGATATCTTAGGCTAGGCGCAGTGGCTCCCACCTGTAATCCCAGCACTTTGGGAGGCCGAGGTGGGTGGATCACAAGGTCAGGCGTTCAAGACCAGCCTGACCAACTTGGTAAAATCCCATCTCTACAAAAAATACAAAAATTAGCCAGACGTGGTGGCATGCAGCTACTCAGGAGACTGAGGCAGGAGAACCACTTGAACCCAGGAGGCGGAGGTTGCAGTGAGCCGAGATCACACCACTGCACACCAGCCTGGGCAACAGAATGAGACTTTGTCTCAAAAAAAAAAAAAAAAAAAAAGACCCTGACAAGTGCTCTCAGATACAATTTCTGATCATGTTTGAGAAATCAGGTTTCTGATAACTTTGGAGATTGTGACATTGGAATAAAGGAAAATGTACAGGACTCATAAAGAGCTGAAGTGTTCACGAATATCAAGCAAAACAAGATTTAACTAACTTGACTGAACTCAGGAAGCTGAGCAAATCTTTTTGACTTTTGCTTGGAATGTTGCTGATCCTTGTTTTGTTTTTCATAGTCAAGAAAACTTATTTTGAACTACTTAAGGCCTTTAATAATTAAGTAAGGCATACTCCTGTGGACAAAATTTGGAGCATGTTTGTTTCTCTCTGCCTGGTTCCTCTAGAATTTGGAAACTTTCTGTGAGTATTCTTAATTTATGGCAATATTTGCATCAGTGCAATAAGAATCCACTTTTCTTTGTGACAGAACACAATTGGAGAAAATGGTTATTTTACCAAGGCTTTGACTGGAAGGGTATGCTTTGATTTAAGGAGTCAATCTCCACTTGCAGAGCCAATAAAAACCCAATGGGGAAACTGGCCTCATATCCTTGCCTACACAGTCCCTATGCAGGGTTCCTCACCTCTGGTCAATAAACAGTATAACTTTCTAACAGGTCCAGGGCTCCAAGTTTATCTTGGGACCTTAAGGGGAGAGGATCACCCAACTCACAGGTATTTGAGAATGCAAGCCCATGGCTGGGCTCCGCTTTAAACGGTCTTATCTGAGATTCCTTGTGGAACAGACTTCTATCAAAGCCAATCCAAAAGGCCTATGTAGAAATAATTGCTCTTGCTGTACTTTATGCAAATAATCAGGCCCAGTATAAGACGGAAGTCTATTTTGAAAACCACTCAGTCCTATCATAATTTGTTTTCTAACAAACATGAGGTCTGGAGAGAAATAAATCATGCTTCAAAACTTATATATTTGTCATTAAATTCTAAACTTGTTGTTTTAAAGTTTTTTTGCCTACATTTTAGACTAACCCTGATTGTTCCTGTGAACCAACCAGCAATCTCCAGCTGTAGCTCAGAAAGAACAAAAGGGATGGGTAATGTAGAAATATGGACCAGTATTCTAGTTCTGAGCAATTATCCTGCAAATCTTTCCAGGTGATGGGAATAAATAGGATACCTATTACTCAGCAGTTTCTTTTTGGTAAAGTAAGACCAAGGGAGTAACCAAAACAAAGCACTATGCACCCAAATTCTAGCAAGCATAACTATAACAGCCAGTTATCTGGGTGTGTCACAAGACATCCTTTCCTCTCCCTTGTTGGAGGAGGACACAGTTCCACAGTTTCATCTTACCATTCAGCTTATGATAAGGAGTTCATGCAACCCCTCTTGAGACACATTTTTGTCCCAAACTCAATTCCAAGCTTCAGGTTAAAGCCCCAGGAAGGAAAACGATCTGAGGCATCCAGAAGCAAATGACAACATAGGTTAAAAGGCACAGTGTAGGTGAGTATGGCTGATTCCCACCGATTAAGCCAACCCCAAGCTTCCTGTTTCATGGATAAAGACCACGTTAATATCCATGGCATAAATGAGGTCTAGGGAACTCCAAGGCTACTGACAGTAGGTGGAAAAGAGACCTAAGTGAGAGCAGATAATTCCTGTTCTCTAGACCCCCCTGCTTCATGGGTGCAAGCCGCTTTAACACTCATGGCAGCACCTGCCAAGGTCGCTGGAACTCAGGGATGCAAGGACAGAAGAAGGGAAAGAGGACACTCTTCCTTGTCTCCCTTGCATACCCCGGTATCTCCTAAGAACTGAAGGGAACCAGGGATACCTGCTCCCCTCTTTCCAGATGGGTAGTCATTCATCTTCAGTCTGTATCCCTTTAGAATGCATTCTGAAGCCTTGGGACTCCTTTGAAAAAATGCTTTCTTTTTATTCCTTTCTCCTCCTGGGTCCTCTATTCACTAATAGGTAATTATGTCTCCATACTATGAGACAGTCCCCTCAGATGCATCCTCCAAACTGGAAAGAGTTAATTTCCTAAACCTTAAACTGATTGGCTTAAGATTGAGCTCAGGAGATGGGAACCCAGAAGCCCAACATGCTAGCAAAGGGATAAAGTTTTTTTTTGTTTTTTTTTGTTTTTTTTTTTACCAGTCAGGCTATTGGCCTCCATCTCCCTGTGTAAACTGGTAAAAGACCTCAGAATTTTTGAGCTGTCTTTACTCCTCCCCTTGTTTTGTTTAGATACATGTTTTCTAATAACCCGGTTTGTCTGTTCTTGCCTCAGGCCATCAAACTCCAAACTCTCATGCAACCAGAGCCTCTGACAATGGCCCCTTTTGCTGGGAACCCTTAAATAGGCCTCTGGGGACTGCTGTTTCCCCAAACAGCAGCCCTGTCAGCAGGAAGCAGTTAAGATCGGTCTTTGTCCTTATCCATAATCTAATGGCAGTTAGGTGTACTTCTTTAAAGGAGGGAATGAGACAGCCATGTGGGAGGGGGGTCCCTGAAGAAACTCCAACCAGCCTGCCCACTGAGATGGAGCCCTGGGAAGTTCATGACGTTTGCAGCAGGGAGGAGCCTGAACCTGGCCCCTCTGCTTCCTCTGTGGAAACTAGGATTCCAACTACCTGGCAGGAAGTGCCCTAGCGGAGGGACTCTGGCCTTGTAAGAGTCCCTGTTTCCACTGCCTGTCCCCGCACTGTGGCTGTTCTTTTCTTTTCACCCAATAAAACCCTGCTTTACTCACCCTTTAAACCATCTGCAAGCCTGCATTTTCAGGGCGTGGGATGGACAAGAACTCTGTTTTTAGATGAACTACGGAAAAGTCCTGCAACACTTCCTTTCCCAATCTTCACCTGGAACAATTTTTTTACAACTAACTATAAACATTATCTTCTAATCACCCCTTACCTGCTGATCTTCCATTATTTCCACTAGTCAACAAATGTAAGAAGCCTTGTTTCCTTCTCTTCTCTCATCATACAATGAGAAAACAAGTCTGGCTAACTCGGTTTATTGTTTTTTAATTGGACCTTAACTTCCACCAATTATCTCTCTGTTAGGATAGTAAAACAATCTCCAATATGGATTTCTCTTTGTCCTAGTCTTTTTAACCTTAAATTTTTTTTCTTCTGCCATGCTAGTAACCCATTCAAAGCTCAAATCTAATATCAATGCCACACAACCATTTAGAAAATGTTAATACTTCATCATCATCCGTAAGTTAAATTTAATAGGGTCAACATGCCATATACAAAGCTTTAAATCATTGTCTTCGTTTTGTCTTTAGCAATCTCCAAATTGAATGTTTAGTTCTATTATAGAAACACCAAGCCACTTGCAGTCTTCTATCATCATGATGTTGCTTGTTCCTTGACTTTGCTGTATTTGTTCTGGGAAAACTGACATATCACCTTCTACCACCTGGCTAACTCCTATTCATCCAGTAGGGCTCAATCTAGTTTGCTTTTATTCATATAAAAAGCAAATCTGATTCTCCCTCTTCCAACTACACAGCCCAGATCTGTTTCCCTTCTCCCTGATTATATAATATGTGCTACCTCTTCCATTCAATTCATCATATTGTATTTGCAATATTGTTAACTCTTCGAAGGCAAGAGCTGTGTCACTTATTTTTGTATTAATAATAACTTTATTGTTGGCGTAGCAAAAACACTCAATAAATGTTCCACGAATAAATGAATGAATGTACTTACAAATGAAGTGACACTGAATTGGGTCAAGGATTTAAAACTAATCACTCATTTTGTATTAAAAGTTCTACAACTAGTGTTCCATTCTCAAGTCTGTCACGCATTTCTTTATGTGGAAAGATTTTCTACCGTTTTGCAATGCGAATCCATATTAACCAGTTAATTATCTCATGTCTCCATTTATTATTATGGCAATATTTTTACTTTGGTTGCATTCATTATTTACCAAAGGTAATGCTTTTACTAAATACAAAAAATAACTAACAAATAATGAAGCATAGGGGCTTAAATTTGTCAGGAGCACTCAGTTGGGATAATCAGATTTTTTAAATTTAGTATTGTTCATTTCAGTTGAGTCTCCAACTTTCAGAAGTTAAGTGTCCTGCTTTTAGGGGCATGTCTTATGTTTTTTCTATTTTTTTAGCTACTTGGCAAGTGAAAAATGGTTGCAGCCTAATGGTTACCTCTTAAAAAGTTTAGACAACTTTAAATAGTGCGTTGTATTCTAAGAAGGATGAATTGGATGATTTTACTGACTTCATAAAAACAATGTACATAATGAGATGTTAAAGAACTATTGAAGTTAGTAAAGAGAATTTTATTTTCTTATGGAAAGGGACTAGAATATGCTGGTTTAGCTACTGTGGTATTCAGGGATATCCATCAATGACATTTGATTAGAATATAAAAGTGAATCATAATGCGACCCTAAAATAAAATATCTAAAACTGTATAATTGTGATAAAAAAGTGTTGATTGATTTATTTTCATCTTTGAATGCTGGCTGATCCATAACGTCTTCAATTTGAAGTTCCTCTACGAAATTCAATAATAGTCAATATAAAAATAGTTCAAACATTGCCACATTAACCAAGTCAGTGCTTCAAAGGTACTGTCCTATCCATTTCATTAGTAAACTTGACTGAACAAGAATAAGACTAACATTGATTACCAAAATGTGACCCCAAAGAGAAGCCAGTTTCCAGGAAAATATAATCCAATAGAACACAAGAAGTAAAATACACTGAGAGCATTAATAGTTTTCTGTTCTGAAAAATAAATGCTATTGCTTATACAAGACTTGCTATAGCCATCTGAAAGCTCCAATTCTCTTCTTTTACCTTGGGTTTTCTTTCTCATTATTGTGTATGGGAGAGTTTACTCTCAAAGTCTTTATCCTTGCAACGGAGATGATGATACTACCTTAGAGGGCTTTGTAAGAACTAGAGATGATATACGTAGGTGTCTTGCAAATGGTGGTTATGATTGTTCGTTCACATTCCCAGACACTAACTCTTCCTTGAGGGCAAGTTGTACTTTTGATACTTCAGTTGCACTCCAAGGAGTGTTGTCTAGAAATAATTCTAGGAAGTTTGATATTACTATAATTTGCTCTTGTCATAACTTTGCCCCAGTTAGAAACAGGTATACTAGCCATTGGTTACTTGTGGTCAGTGCTAACTTGCATTGTCATTAACAATGAGATAAAAATATTAATATGAATTTGGAAATCAAGATGACAGTTACCAGAAAGTGAGGTTCTGATAATGGTGAGCAACCGTCTTGATTTGCCCTCGACTAAGGGGTTTCTGGAATGCAGGGCTTTCAGTACTAAAACCAGGAACATCTGTGCAAACTGAGATGAGTTGGTCACTTTATCTTGTGGGCATGACTTAAAAGTTTTGTTCATTGCTGTACATCCAGAGCTGCAAATAGTGCCTGGCATTAAGTAGGTTCCTCAATTCATATTCACTAAATGAATCTATTCTAAAATAAACATAATCTAATCATTTTTTCTGCTTTTACCATTTACCTCTTTTTCTTCTCCAGTATTGTTTCCTGACCATCTCTTCCTTTCTATCCTGTTTATAGGTTCAAAACATCAATAATTCCACACACAGGCATATGCAGTATTTATGAAATATCTGATGCTTGAATTTGAAATACTCATCTACCACTATTTCAAGGCTACACAAATGAGAAAATAGGTGAAAGCACTTTTGAGCTACAAAGCATATAATTTTTACTTTTGAATTATTATATCTTATGAATGCCTAATGGTATCCCACTAGTTTCTAAGAGCTCATGGTTTATTTCTGATATTAATTGTTGATTTTTTACTCCTTAATATTAGTGCTTTCTATGATTACTAAAATGGCTTTCAAATAACAGTTACTAATAACTCAGGATTTATAATAAATTGAGTTTTACAAATGTTGAACATGTAGTGACATGTTATGTAGTGACAGATTATGATTTTGTACTTCTCTTAGAAAACTTGAAAATGTGCTGAAAAATGAAAACCAGGGATACAATCTACTTTCACTTAAGGTAAGAATATGTATTGAAAAACCAAAATGTAATTGAGCACATAAACATTGTCATAAATTATTTTAGAGTGACTTGTTTGCAAGACTCTTGAAAATGTTTCAGATGAAAATACATATCTACGTGACTTTTTTTTAAGGTCAAAATTAACTGAAGTTCATTCTCTAACAATCCATTTATGCTGAGAAACATCTTTACAAGCATCAGTTAGTCTGCTTCAGGGCAACTGGAAAGAGAAACTGTATTACTTTTCTCATTTTGTAAAACATTATGATGATAATTTCAATAGAAGTAGCTACAGGACCTGGAAGTCCATTTCAACATCTAACTTTTAAGGCATTTTACAAATTGTATTAAGATTAATATTTTTTCATAATTCCATTAGTAAAACCTGAGATTTCCCTAGCATTACAAATTTTTTGATTAAAATTTGATAGTTACAATAAAAAGTATATATCATAAATATATTTATTTTGTGCATGTTTTAATATATTTACTTGAGGTTTCATATATTCCTCTTAGAAGTCTATAGACTTTACAAAACTAGCAAATGTGCTTAAATAGCAATTGGTGAGTTCTACTTTTTACTTCTTTCAATGTGGAAGTAAGGGCTGAAGAAGTAAGGGGATGAACTAATTGTTATTCAGTAGACTTATTAATATATAGGCACAATAGTTGCTAAGAGTGCCCATAATGGGTTTCCACCATGATAACTGAACTAGGGTTGAACTAGGTGGATGCTCTGGCAAGTTTGCAAGGTTAGAGGACATCAATCAGAATATGTTCTACTGCCACCACACAGATCAGCCCCTCTCCTTCAAACAACTTTGAATCTTCCCTTTCACCAGGATAAAAAGCAATATATTCACTACTTCTGGCAATGAGATAAAGGCAGGATTGATGTCATTTGGACAAGTCAAATTCAGCAATTCAGCATCAAATATATAATAAACTGCAGCATTAATAATCTGGAAAATGAAATTAAATTACTAGACCAAAGAATGAAAAATAAGACTTCATGGTCTGATTTTCATAGGCCTTCCTTTCTGTTTTTGGTGCAAGGGACAGATAGATGTGCTCATTTTCTGCATAGAACAAAATTTACAAAACAAAGAGTTTTCCAATATTATGTGCTTTCATTAAAATAGCTTCATTTATTGTCTGCCTTGCAGCAAGTTCCTCTCTATTTTTCTTTTTTCTTAATCCTGGGCAAAACAAAAAATGAACAGCAGTTTTACATTTTCCTGCTAAACATATTATAAAATTTAATTATATAATTTTACATACAATTTATATAGTTTTCTCAAGGTTGAAATTTCGGAAGTTCTGTTGGCAGCAGTTTAAGAAACAGAAGGATGTGAACTGGTATGTGTTTTGAGAAGGCTTCATTCAGTATCTAAATTTGGATCCTAATTGACAGTGTGCTACATTAATTCTAGAAGATTTCTTTTTTCTCTCATACAGCCAGATGTATCTTGTTCTGTATCCCGATGGAGCATGAGAAGACAGTGGTGTCCCAGCTGCTTCCTATCTAATATATACAGAGCTTTTAGGAATTCACATTTCTTCTTGCAAAAGAAGAGAAAGAATCGCAGGGACCTTGATTTTTGGAAGGTAACTTTTTAGATTCATTTTTATCAGAAGTAGCTGTTGTACAGAATACATTCTAATCAAATATAATGATGCATATGTAATTTCAGGATAAGTTTTATAAGATATTTGATTCTGTGCTACTATATTTAAGAGAAACAGACAGCTTCTTAGCAGAGTATGACTGCTTACCCAGCATTCACATGCTATGTCTGTGATAGTTAATGCTATCATTATTTTCAAGATTATTATTAAAACAAGCTGAAACAACAAATAAGTAGTTGAACACAATATTTTAAAATTATATTGCTTTAGAGTGCCACATTGTATTTGTAAGCACTCATCTAACTCTTCTACTTTATCTAAATATCTTGAAGATTATCCCAAAAAGATAAGAGACTGAGTTTTGTTTTGTTTTTTTCACCTTGATCAATCTTTACCTTAAAAACGTTGGATACTCTGGGGCCCTCTACTTAATATGTTTTCATGTTTCAGTGCAGGCTATTCTTGATATACCTTCTTCCTTTTCTTTCTGCCATGTAAATAGCCCTTACATTGTCAAGATTTTTTACCCCCAGCACATCTATATTTAGAATTTTATTTCATAGTAAACGGGTCTCAAACAATATCCTAATTTTTAATTTTTTGATTATAAGGCCTAAAAGCAATTATGAACTAGCCACATTTTCTTTATCAAAAAAAAATTTATCACTCTTCCATATGCAAATAACCTATTTCAGTCTTTGAAAAAGATGATACATGATTTCAGAATATTTGAAATATGAGGGGAAATTATTAAAGCTATATCAGAGCCTATGTGTGTGAGCTACACCATATCCTTCTATTGTTTTGCATAGACATCTGTACACTTTCAAAAGAGTGTTCGAGACTAAGGTCATGGCCAGATATGGAAGAGTAAAATTCCTGAATAGAAAAGATAGAAAAAGATGTTAGAGAATATTCTTTCTGAAGCATCTTTGATGTTTAGGGAAGCAAACTGCATACTATTAGCAGGAAATACAAACACACACATGCACACACACACACACACACAGATTATCATTGGGTTATGTTAACTTGATGAATTGTACGTGGTGTATTTTTGGTGTACGTATTTCAGAATACTGCTGCCCAGTTGCCTTTGGATAGACTACAATGAGCAGTAGACACAGAATTGTATTTTGGTACAACAATATAGCAAATATTTAAACAGTCATATAGGCTTCCTGCTAAACCAAGTAAATTCACGTGTGTAATGGTCTCTAATACATCAGTGCAGCTACGGTTCTGATGGGCCAAGGGTCAAATATGTTATGCAGGGAAAATAGAGGCTTACTGTTAATCAGAAACATCTAGAATTCATTTTAGTTTTCTTTAAATAATAGATTTATAGCACTCTACCCTTTATCCCCAAAACCTGCAATGAGGACCTTTGGTAAAAGAGTTTCTAAATTTATTATAGAAGTCAAGTCTGGTTTATTTAAAACTTGCATCAAATTTATTTCCCAAAATATATTCATTAGTACTATACTATAACCTCCCAGAAGACTGAATTGTATGCTTTAGATTCCAACCTAACTTTTTAAGTGCAAGTTCACCTTTCATCCTATTTAGTAGCATTTGTCTAACTGCTCAGCCACCTCTCACAGCCAAGGGTAATTGCATACTTGGACTAAACCTATAAGAATTATAAGCTTAAAATGAAAGAAGCTTCAGAGTCAGCAAAGACAGAGTTTGGTGAACACAAGCCAAGTAGAGAAAGCAGGATCATTTTCCCTCTCGATTTATATCACTTTTCTTTGTACTAGCACTTGCTTGTTTTTACAGATATTTGTTGGTGTTTTTTATTGTTGCTTGTTTGTGTTTTTTGTGATCTGCAGTTTGGGTATATGTTAAGTATATTCAATACTGAATAACTTGACAAACAGTAGCCAAAATATGTTTTCCCTTTTCTTGAGTCTTCTCCACAGTGAAACCAAGTGTGGATTGTGTTCCTAACCAAGGGAGGTAAGATATGAGGAAGAAAAAAGCCAGAGAATTGGTGATCAAAAAAATAGAAGCAAGACTCTTGCATGCTCTCATTCATTTCCCGTCCTTTTCTCCCATTTCTCTGACCTACTTTGCTAGGAATAATTGATTTTTTCACACCTGGAGACCACAAAACCATGGAGTAAGGTTCAGCCTGCACAATTAAGTGTGAGTATCCAAGCTTCTTAGCCATTAGGAGCTGAAGTTTTCTTCAGCTTGGTCAGTCCTTGTTTCACCACCAAGGTAGCAAGTTTCAAGGCCAATAATGAGATCTGTATATATTCACTTGTTTCACATAAAGATAGAAGTCATATACGTAATATATTAAAATAATAGGAGAATGCCAAAGTACAATAACCAGCAAGTTCCTTTTTTACTTGGAAGCTAGTGTATGGTCTCTTAGCCAAAATGCCCCCAGCTCCTTAAAAAATACCATTAATTAATTACCACTGATTTAGCATTGCCCTCTCCTGGTATGTATTCATCCTTCAGAGCAAATCTAAACCCACACTTCTTAAAGCTCTGTAGTTTGCATTTAGAAAAAGATAATCACCTCTTCCAGAAAGATGGAAGAAACCATCAGAAAACCAAGAGCTTTCTCTAATAACAGTAATCTAATATTTTAAAAATTTAAGGTTCTGATTCACAGCCTTTCACCTAACAGTAAAATTAGAGCTGGCAACCAGTAATGAACTGAGATAATTTCTTTAATCATTTTTATATAGATTGGGAGTAATGCAAGAGCAGGAACCAGATCTTGTCAATTGTGCACCCACAATACTAAAATCTGTATTTTGCACACAGTAGGTCTTCAATACTTATCATTGAATTGAACTGAATTTGCTAACACTCATCACCAAATATTCTTTTTCAGCTCTAGATGATTTAGAATACTTTCATGTTTCACAGTTATAGTTCATCTGGCCAATGAAATTATGTTTAGGAAACAGTAAATAAATTATACTGAAACTTTCCTTCAAGTAGAATTAAATTTACTTCACAAAATCATTATTTTTGAACCTGAGCATTCTACAAAGGGTAAGCCTAATTAATGAGAAGGAAAAAATACCACAGCATCCTTAAACATACATCTAAAACTCAAGTCAACTAGTCAAACAGGACCCTGTAGAGATTTGATTTTGTGACTAAAGAATACTGTCATATTTTCTTTCTTAGAAAGCAGAAAATCTAATTACCTTCAAGTTTCTCACATTTGAGCCATACTACAAATGAGTTGTGTCCAGGTACAGAAAAACCGACAATATTTTATTTATAATCTTATTTTTAGCTTTTTAACTACAAATTCTGGTTCTAGAGTTGTTTAAAAGTCATGGGTTTTATAGATGCTCATATGTAAATTAATCTGTTGTTTGCTTACTTTCTTTTCTTTTCCATAGAATGGACTTCCTCATAAATACAGAACAGGTCATCACATGAAAAATATAAGATCTTGCATTTTTTTCCTTGTTCTCTCTTAAAAATCTATTTCTAATATTGCATTCCCCATTGGATTACTTCATATGGGTATGAGGGAAAAAGAAAAAAATTAAAAAAAGAGAGAGAGACAAAATAGACTGGATCTCACCACTAGAATTCACCATAAAAATCTCAAAGTGTAACAGAATTCTTACAAAATTTCCTAGACCAGTTCTTTAAGGAATTGAGATCTGCTATGAAAAATATGGCAATCAGGGAAGGGAGGAATGAGATGTGGGAAAATAGTGAATAAGTGCAGCAAAAACAGGTTCTGAGGAATACACATAATTTTGTCTGCTTTAGATCACAATAGAATTTTTAATAAATAAATTTCTTTTCTTTTTTGTTTTTTTGTAAAGACACTTTTTTGAAACAGTAGATTTAGCCCAGTCATTTGTGTCATTTTTAATAAACTGTCTTTTTTTTTGATTGTTTGTTTTTTGTAACTCTGTAAATGTTTTAGATTTGAGTCTCTTGTACATTGTCTTTAGAGTTCATTCGGATCAATAACGGTTCATGCACTGAACTGTGTATTGAATTTATTGTGTTAACTGTTGTTGTGTGGTTGAAGGGAGATTTGTATGAGTTATAGTGATTTAGGTGCTCATGCTCGATAGCAGGCATGGGCAGGTGGCTTTCCATGGGTGTGTCTCCCGTAATCTCATCATCCACATTAATAATTTCAACAGTCCTTGTTGGGGCGTGATGGTTTTGCCGATGGTGCTGCTTCCTCATCTTGTAGAAAATGACCAGCATCACTGCAGCCATGAGTGTGATGGCCACAAAACACCCAATGATGATTTTGGTAGTCTTCATGACCTCATCAATTCCTGGGATCCCACTGTTTATATCAGTCACTGGGATGGTGAAGGTTTTCTCTGTCGACCTTGTGCTCTGTGGTGTGAGAGAGGTGGTCACATTGGTGGTCTCCCAGTCGACCACTGGAGTGGGACCCACATTGTTATCTGTGGTCCGTGCCTCATCCTGAGACGGTTCCATAGTCTCTACTGTGACGGTTGAAAAGTAAGAGAAAGGAGTAGTGGTTGCTGCAGTAACATTCAGGGTGGCTGAAGCAGTAGTATTCCCAACGGAATTACTCACCATACATGTGTACATGCCTGTATCTTGCACAGTTACATTTGTGAAATTTAACGTACCATCACTGAGCACAGCTATCCGCACTTTGTACGCCCCATGTGTCATGACTGTTCCATTTGGAGTAATCCAAGATACAGATGTCAGGGATGTGGAGGCCCGACATTTCAGCTCAGCTGCCATGCCTTCAGTGACATTGAGGTCTGCAGGGGGCTCCACAATCACCGGAGCATAGCATGTGAAGTAATTCTGGTCGAGCTCTCCAATGTACCTCCCCTTTAGATTGGGAGGAGTGTTACACCGGGCACAACAAGCTGTGTTCGAGGGGGCCATGTCTTTTATCCACCAGCTGAGCCACAGTATGTCACAGTTACAGTTCCAAGGGTTGTGATGTAAATGTATCCGCTCTAGATGATGCAAGGGAGTGAAGAGGTCATGAGGCAGTAATGTTAGATTATTGTGTGCCAGGTTGATCTCCACTAGTGACTGAAGGTTGTCAAAGGCATTCCGTTCAATCACTTGAATCTGGGACTGTATCATCCACAGTTTTTGAAGGTGCATCAAACCCTGGAAAGAGCCAGGCCTGATGGCAGATAAATGATTCCCAGAAAGATCCAGCTCATCTAGTTTTATGAGCGGTGTGAGGTTAGGGATTTCCCGAAGGTTGCACATGGCAAGGTTCAAATACCTCAAGTTGGACAGACCTTCAAAGGCACCTTCTGAGATGTATGAAAGTCTTTTCAATTCCCCTAAGTCTAGTCGGCGCAAAGAAGGAATTCTGTTAAAAGCATAAGAAGGGATGCTTTCAATGGGGTTGTTTCGCAACCAGAGCTCCTTCAGTTTAGACAAGTATACAAAAGCTCCATTCGGGATGGTAGTAAGACGATTGTCAAAGAGTTCCAGAGTGTTGAGGTTCGCCAGACCATTGAAAGCCCCAATTTCAATGGTTCTGATATGGTTCCTACTCAACTGTAGGATTTCCAAGTGTCTCAAGTGCTTGAAGCTGTTCACTTTGATGATCTGGATTTGGTTCTCATGGAGGTTCAGCAGCCGTGTGTTGGTGGAGATGCCATCCGGAACCTCACGCAGGTTTTTCCGAACACAAATCACCTTGCTGAACTGGTTGCTGCAGGAGCACACAGAAGGGCAGGTCTGAGCCCGCACCAGACCAGCCACCACAAGAAGTTGAAGAGCCAGCAGCACCACAAGCAGGGGGTCAAATAGGGCCCTGTTAAACCTAGGACCTATCATTATCTGCTGTGGATGTAAGGTCATCTTGTTCAACATTCATAATTTATCTGGTGTTGGTCCTTCTGGAATTCAAACAGTCTGCAAAATACAAGCAAAAAAAACCAATTATTAGATTAGATTTATTCTAAGTGTCTTTCTGGAGTAATGTCGGTGATATAGTGTATCAGCTAAAGCCATCATGTGTGAGACAAATTAAAAACAAATCTAATATCCTTTATTAAGCTATGTGGTTCATATTTAGAAGAAAATGTACCTTTAATCCAAATTAAAGCCCACATTCCATGAGATGTATGACCACAGAGTAAGGGGTCAATGAGGTAGAGGACACTAATGTATTGTTTACCAACCAAATGTGGCCCAAATGCATGAGGACATATAATACATACCCTACCATTAGCTTCAATGTCCACAGCAGATTGAAAAGCTTAAAAAATAGGACTTTGGGGCTATATCAAACAAACTAAAAGCTCCTTTGCAAAAGTAGTAATAGCTGACATATTATATTGAAGGTTATTTTATGTGCCAAGCACCATGGGCTATACACTTTACAAACAAGCCTGTCTGGAAATGGTTACATAATTTGTGGTTCCCAGTGCAAAATAAAAATGTAGGAAGCCTTATAAAAAAAGTGTTAATAATATCAAATCAGTAACAAAAGACCACTAAACCAAGTGTGGGCCCATATAAATGTGGGTTTCTTTGCAACTGCACAGGTTGTAGGCCTATGAAGCTGGTTGTAATCCTTCGTAATCCTTACAACACTTCTCTGAAGTAGGAATTGCCATTCTTTTCATTTTCAAAATGAAGAAATATCATCATAGAAGTGACATTCAAGAAGTCACATGTTTAGTAAGTATAAATCAGGGCTCAGATGCTCATTAGACTGATCCCAGAGAATATGATCTCAGATGGTCCATAAAAATGTTGCTATGAGAATAAAGGTAAAAGCAAAATATTTTTCACAATTTCTTTAAAATACCTTCCCTTTGGGGGTGACCTCAGCTGTAAGCACTGGCAACTTAATTTATGGTACCTGTGAAGATGCACTGAAACAGTGACATGCACATGTATATATAAACTTCTAGAGATTCTCATATACCAACTCATTATAAAATAGCTGACTGCAGCCTATAAGCAGACATATCACATGTTAACTATTTTCCCATGAAGCATAATTTTTATTTACAGAAAAAAATAGTTATAACAGGACTATTATGTCTTGTGTCCCTACTCTTACTGGTTTTGAGTAGATTTTTGGGAAGGAAAATAACTCATCTCCTGCATCTCTTGTGGCCAAAGGAAGTCTTCCAAAGGAGCTTATGTTGTTTCCAAGTATACACCACACTCAGCTGGCTTATTGTGGACTGGGCACCTGTGTAATAACTTCTCCCAAGTCTCTCAACTCAATAAACAGTGTGTCTTCTATGAGTCTCTTGGAAAGAAAAAAAAAAGGGGAGGGGGGCCAGTGGGAGGGGTCACCACATTTCAATTCAAAAAGGCACTAATTTCGTACCCATTATGTGTCACCTTGAGCAAGTTACTTATCCTTTCTGTGGCTTAATTTCTCTCCCACTTGCAAAATGGGAATGAAGATATTAATATTATATATCACATAGGGTTGTTGTGAGGATAAAATGAGTTAATACAGAAAAAGGACTTAGAACAATTCCTCCCACATTGTCAGAACTCAATAAATGTTAGATATGATTATATGATAGATATGGTTATTATTTCATATTAAAAATATTTTTAATATTAAATATTAATTTCATTATAAATACTAATTTCATTATAAATAGTAGTAATCATACTAATCATATATTTAGATTTATAATGAAATATTAATTTCATTATAAATTGTTAATATGAAAATATTTTAATATGAAACAAATTACCATTAAATTTAATATTAAAATAATAATGTAATATTAAAAATATTTATAAGTATGAAATAACAAATATAATTATTACTTATATTAAAATATTAACAATAAATTAATATAAAATATTTTATTATAAAATAATCATATCTAACATTTATTGAGTTCTGACAATGTGGGAGGTATTGTTCTAAGTCCTTTTTGTTGTTTCCCTCAGCCAGATATTTTGCTAAGTAGTGGGCATATAAGGATGAGGAATAGAATCCTTACCTCGTGGGAATTTAAAAGGTGAGACAGATAAGCAAACAGATGAAGTACAATGATATATGTTCATTGCTATGACAGAAGTCCACATTGGCACAAGAGCACTAACATCAGAGCAACTTAATCTATGCCGGAAAACCAAGGAGGTTTCAAAGAAGATGGATATCTGATCTATATTTTGTAGAAGCTGCTGAGAAAAGGAAAGAAGGGCATTTTAAGCACAGAGGGATCAGCTGAACCAAGGCAAGCAGACATGAAAAATGCTAGTACATCCAGGGAACAGTAAAAAGTACCCTCTATCAAGAGAATGGAAGGCCTGAGGACGAGAATGAGAAAGGAAGCTGGAATAAGATCGGGTAAAGACTCTTAGGGGTTGGTTACGTCAAACTTAAGAGTCCCAATTTTATAGTGCAGGCAACATGTTTTGTTTTTAGAAAAGAATGCTATCATCAGCTTTGTTTTGAAAAATGATAATGAGAGGTTAATATGGGGCACAGACAAGCAATGGAAGAAACTAGTGGCAAGCAGAGCAATTAGGAAGACCTTCCTGTTGGCTCAAGTGAGTCTTGGAGAGAAGCCAGTGCCAGAGAGCGATCCAGTTTCAAGGCCAGCACTTCCTTGTCTACCACCAAAGGCTTGAGGAAGAAGGGCTGGCTCTTTTTTAGGACATGATCCTTTCACTAGTGGTGAGATCCCCAGTGAGAAATAGTTGCATTTACATAGCCTACAGAAGGTAGAGAAGAGGCTTTTTTCCCCTCAGTAATAGGAGATGCACTCTTAAGGAAAAGCAGCTGTCATTAGCAATCCTTAAACATATACCCACGTTTACAAAAACACTGTAAGGAACGTTGGTCTTAAGAAGGGGATATTTAAAGTCCTCCATTGCTTTCTGGCTTCAGAGGCTTTTGTGTCCTTCTCTATGACAGCAAAAATACTTGACTAATAGATTCTGAGTTACTATTTTTTTCCCCCAGCCTTCTAAGGCCAACTAACTTGATTCCTTCCTTGGAGCTGTTGCAGCTCTAGATTGACTTTTCACACGATCTGGTACTGTGATTATTTGTTTCTGGGTGGTTTCCTCCATCAGCCTGTGGACTCTGTGAGAACAGGGGCCATGTCTGATGGATTCCTCTTAGCCTATTGCCAACACAGTGCCTGGCATACTGTAGGCACAAAATGAAAAGATATTGAAAAATGTATGACAAAGCAAATATCTAATCACAGCCCTTTGCATATATGTAGTCACATGTTCTTATGTATTAATCATGCCTTTTTATTTTTTGTGTTTTCTGATGTTCTAACATTTGAGGCCTTGCTGATCCTAGAGAGGCTACCCTTTCAGGGCTAGCAAATTCCTAGAAATAGTCAAGGACTTGCCTATAAGCATGACTTTCATATGCAAACCAGCCAATCCAAAGGTCAAACCCCAGTCACCTTCTTTATCAGGTTCTCCCAGGACTCTTAACACTCACACCACCATTCCCCTGCCCTAATCACCCCACGTCCACTTACCACTTACCAGACAACAAGGGACAGCCCCTATGTCCCAGAGCCTGCCAAAATTGTTCAAATTACCCAATCATAAGACCATTTACCCTGCCTTCCCATAAAACCACAATAAAGGCTCTTGCCCACATTTTCTACTGGCTGCTCCCTACTGGCTGATCCTGCTGCTTCCCAGTGTGGCCTCCACATGCTGTGCCATGCCCTGCCTCCTGGGAGCTGTGAGAAAAACATCACTTTTTAAACAGCAGCCATCTCCTGATCTGTTGCTTCACTATAGCTAAATAATAATAAAACCTGCATTCTAAAACAATTACTAAACAAAAAGGCCTGGCTCATCATGTCAGTCCTGTTAACAGGTTTTATAGGACTACACCCCTGCCCCATTTATATCATGACAACAATGTGGTTGGTAGGTTTCACAACCTAAGTCAGATAGAGTTATCCTCCTTGTAAATTTAAATATGGCCTTAAATAACTCTTTTATATTTCCATTATCAACAGAAAGCTATCTAAATTTCCAGTAATCATGACCATCGAAAATTTATCATTTGAGTGATTTAGTGTAGTTTTACATATGCCCTCTCTCCCTGAAACAGACATAGGTTTCAGGGGGAGAGGGCCTATGTTATTAAGGTTATTGGGCATAAAATAACATAGCATGCAAAATCCCTGATACATAAGCAAATTAATATTTTTAGGGTTGGGGTCCCAGGGTCCTGTTCCTCCATTCTTTCTCCCATTCCCTACCCCATAGCCCTTCTCAGAATCCTAGGGTCTCAGGCAAAACAGGTAGAAATAACTGGTTGACTGGAAATAGCACAAGAGTAAAGAAGATAAGTTCTTACTCTGCCGTTTGCTACCTTTTTCTTTTTAAAATGTGAGGCAGTAAAGGCAGCCATGCTCAGTGGTCAAGAGAAAAGGGTCCAATGTGAGACTTCTTGAGATCATATCCCTGTTTGAACCTCAGTGACCTTAAAATTGAGAAAGTTACTTCACCTCTCTATACCTTACTTTCCCCATCTGTGAAAGAACACTGTTACCTAGTCAAAAGACTTTGGTTAGGACTGTCACATAATACTGTGTTATGTAAAGTTACTGACTCATAAGAAGCAATATATAATAAATATTTAATGCATATTAAAAATAAAGTGATGAGACACTCAGTTTCTTCCTATTTTTTAAGACAGGAGCAGCAATAATATCGCTTATTCAAATTTGTGGTAAGGATTTCTTGATATAATCGGGAACATACTATCAGTAAAACACACGCAACAATGATATATTGCTATTACTTAAAAGGTATATGCATCTATTCTTTCTTACTCTCCGGGCTGAGTTTTATTTTCTACTTCTTGCTTACTTCAAGGTCTTTGTGCTATTGCAATTAATGAGATTTTCTATAAATCAGTCATAAGTAATACTTTAAGAATTATAGCTGGTTCAAAGCTAATTTATAACCTACAGTGAATAATGCTTGGTACATGCACTGAATTAAATCAACTACTATCAACAAAAGGTTTTTTACTTTAATATCTAAATTATGTTACTTTATATCAAAAGCCAGTCTTCAACATCTCTTTCATGATGTTTTTATCACATCAAATGAAAATTAATTTAAAAGTATGCACTACCCATTACAATGTCATCTGACAGCATTTATTTACATATGCATTTGTGTGAGTTTTGAATTAAACTATGATACTTTTAGCCTTGTCCCAGAGGATATCTTGACTTTGTCAACAGACTTTCTTCCTTTACTACCCATGCTTTAGTGCACTGAGAGCTGCAGTGAGAGACACAGAAGCAAGTATATGTGAAAGAGTTAGCTAACGGAGATGCTTTCTTAGCACAGTATCATTGCTAAGTCATCATAGGCTTTGTCTAAACGTTAGAACTAGTTTGTAAGCAAGGAGGGAGAAAGATGAATTCAGTTAACCACAACTGTACCTCTTCTTTCCCTTCTCACATTATCCTTAACAAACCTCCCTAAACAGGAGAACCAAAACTGCTTACCCCTGGACCCTAAGATTCCAAACCACACCTTACCATCTACATCAACATGACTTTGCTGTTCCACTGTCTGTCTTAGCACCTCTTTCCTCTTCTGGGGCTCTTCCACCAAAGCAAATGGCTTCACTGATCCTTATAGGAACTTCCCCCAAAGTTCTATCCAGTCTTTCATGGAAAATTCAACAGACATCTGTGCTCAGATTTACTGACTCTTTTGACTCACCTTGCTGTTTTCTTCAATCCTGAATTGTTGTGTCATAATTCTTGTATAATCCTAAACAAGTTTCTACATTGAAAAACCTTCCTAGACTCATACTTCCAATTCTTTTTTTTAAATTAAATTAAATTTTAAGTTCCTGGATACATGTGCAGGACGTGCAGGTTTGTTACATAGGTTAAACGTGTGCCATAGTGGTTTGCTACACCTATCAACCCATCACCTACGTATTAAGCCCCGCATGCATTAGCTATTTCTTTCTGATGCTCTCCCTTCCCCCACATCCCAAACAGGCCCCAGTGTGTGTTGTTCTCCTCCCTGTGTCCACGTGTTCTCATTGTTCAGCTCCCACTTATAAGACAGAACAGGCAGTATTTGGTTTTCTGTTCCTATGTCAGTCAAACTTCGAATTCTTAATAAATTCTGACCTAATCTTCACAGCTCCACTCACAGACAGTGCCAAACTTTGTGAGGTGGTTCTTTTCCTTACCATCATAATCAATAAAGTCAGCTCTGCTTTATCAACAGGTTATATTGATGATATTTCAGGAATTACCTTTTTACAATACACAAGGTGTAATACTCATTTAAAATGTGATTGAATCTCAAACAATATCTTCACCCTCCCCCCACCCAACAAACACAAATTTGTTGCCTACCCAAACATCCTACTCCCTTACTCTTTTCTAAGAAAATTTTATATAAAACATTTACTCCCATGCAAAAACAAAACAAAACAAATATATATATATAGATAGATATAGGTCTATATACTTTTTTATATCTATATAAAAAGTGTATGTGTATATATATATTTATACACACACACACACACACACACACACACACACACATATATACTATTTTATCTGTTTTGGGAGAGACTGACCCCAGTACTTAAGGGTGAATAGAGTTTCATTTAAGCTAGAAGTAGGCAAACTTTTTCTGTAAAGGGCCAGATAGTAATTATTTCAGGCTTTATGAGCCATATGATCTCTTGTTGCAACTACTCAGTTATGCCACTGTAGCAGCCATAGACAAAAGGTATATAAATGGGCATGGCTGTGCTCCAATAATACTATTTATAGTATAAAATGATATTTTTGGAAATTGTAGCTAGAGCAATCAGACATGACAAATAAAGGACATCTTGGAAAAGAAGAGGTCAAATTATCTTTGTTTGCAGATGATATGATCTTATATTTGGAAAACCCTAAGGACTCTACCAAAAAACTGTTAGAACTGATAAATTCAGTAAAGTTGCAGAATACAAAATCAACATACAAAAATAAGTAGCATTTCTAAATACCAATCGCAAACAATCTGAAAAAAGAAATCAAGAAATTAATCCCATTTACTATAGCTATAAATACAATAAAATACTTAGGAATTAAATAACTGAAAGATCTCTACAGTGAAAACTATAGAACATTAATGAAAGAAGAAATTGGATCAGACACGCAAAAAATGGAAAGATATTCCATGCTCATGGATTAGAAGAAACAATAGGATTAAAATGTCCATATTACACTAAGCAATCTACAGATTCAATGCAATCCCTGTCAAAATACCAAAGACATTCTTCACAGAAATAGAAAAAAAAATCTTAAAATGTATATGAGACCACAAAAGACCCAGAATAGCCAAAGCTATCCTGAACAAAAAGAACAAAACTGGAGGAATCTCATTACCTAACTTCAAATTATACTACAGAGCTATAGTAACCAAAACAGCATGGTACTGGCATAAAAGCAGACACATACACCAATGGAACATAATAGAGAATCCAGAAACAAATCCATACATCTACAGTGAACTCATTTTTGACAAAGGTGCCAAGAACATACACTGGAGAAAGGACAGTCTCTTTAATAAATGGTGCTGAGAAAACTGTATGTCTATATGCAGAAGAAGAAAACTAGACCTCTATCTCTGGTCGTGTAAAAAAATCAAAATGGATTAAAGACTTAAATAGACATTGTAATGAGATATCATCTCACTCAAGTTAAAAGGGCTTTTATCCAAAAACAGTAACAAATGCTGGTGAGGATGTGGGAAAAAGGGAACTCTCAAAATGTAAATTAGTATAACCACTATGGAATACACTTTGGAAGTTCTTCAAAAAACTAAAAATATAACTATAATATAATCCAGCAGTTCCACTGCTAGGCATATATTCCCTAAAAAAGGAAATCAATATATGGAAGAAATATCTGCACTCCCATGTTTATTGCAGCACTATTCATAATATCAAAGATTTGGAAGCAACCTAAGTGTCCATCAACAGATAAATGAATTTTTAAAATGTGGTACATATATACAATGAAGTTCTATTCAGCTGTAAAAAAGAATGAGAAACTATCACTTGCAACAACATGGATGGAGCTGGAGGTCATTCTGTTAAGTGAAACAAGCCAAGCACAGAAAGACAAATTTCATATGTTCTCACTTATCTGTGAGAGCTAAAAAGTAAAACAATTGACTAATGGAGATAGAGAGCAGAATGATGGTTATCAGAGACTGGGAAGCATAGTTGGATGTGGGGAGGCAAAGGAGGGATGGTTAGTGGGTATAAAAATATGGTTAGACACAATTAATATGATCTATTTGATAGCACAATAGGATGACTACAGTCAACAATAATTTACTGTACATTTTAAAATAACTAAAATAGTAAAATTGTTGTAACACAAAGGATAAATGCTTGAGGTCATGGGTGCCCCATTTATCCTAATGTGATTATTACGCATTGTATGCCTGTATCAAAGTATCTTATGTATCCCATAAATATATACACCTACTATGTACCCACAATAATTAAACTTTTTAAAAAAAGAATATATATATATATAAATAAATTCTATTTCCTAACCATTTAAAAATTCACAAACATTCTTAGCTCACAGGGCACACACAAAAAAGTAGCAGGTTGTCTTGCAGATTATAGTTAGCTAAGCTCATGTCTAAGCAAAGATTGATAGTACCATTCCTGCTTTCAGAGACTAATGAGGTCTGAACATGTGACACAATTTGGCTAATAAGATGTGAGGGGAAGTCAGCTGAGGGATTTCAGGAATTTTTTTCTCCCACTAATAAGAAGAAAAACATGGGGAAGAAATAATTCTTTGTTCTGTTTCTAGATATCGTTGAGGGTAAAAGATGCCTAGAGCTGCTGCAGCCATCTTGTGGCCAAGAGGGGAGGCAGCCTGAGGACAAAGCTGATAAGAAAGAAAAAATGAAAAAATGGAAAGAACTTATATCTTTGATATTTGTGATAAGCAGCTGAATTAATGAACCCTGTAACTGTTTTTCCTCTGGACTTCTTATTATGTAAAATAATATATTACAGTATAAACAGTTATTATTTTTCTGGTTACATGCAGCCAAACCTATCCTCACACGTTTATGTTCATTTCTTCTCTCTCTCTCTCTCTCCTTATTTCCTCAGCCAATAGCAAAGAAGAGGGGAACATTTTATTATTTTATTTTCCTATACCTTTATAAATATGAGACCTTTCAAAGGAAACAAGTTAAGGTAAAGCAACATGATATCCTTATAAGAAAGGTCTGAAGCTCATCCCACATCATGCTAAGAAGGATTTCTACTGCAAAATCATTTATCTGGACATCTCTGGGTTTTAAAGAATGCTAGAATACACAGGAGAAAAAACAAAGCAACGAATTAAATAACACCATTACCAAAGGTAACACACTTCTTCAAGTTTATTTCATAAATATTTCCTAATATAGATCATTTATTTTCCCATTTTTAACCCAATCTTGCAAATCTTGAGCTTTCTCCACCCCTTATGCAGGAGTATGTAGTTCTGTAGATTTTCAGGGAAAAGAATTTTTTTTGTAAATATGCCCAGGGCTGAATCAGTAGGTAAATGTAATGGAAATGCTACAACATTTAAATGGCTATAACCCAGTGAATCAACCTGTCAAGTTAACAAGCAGCTGTTTGGCTAAACACACTGACTCTGCAATGTTTCTAGAAAATGCTAAAATTTCAGAAGTTGAGATTTACGAAAAAAAAAAAAACCCACCTGACTCTGCATTTTCATTCTTCTAGAAGACTTATTTGGCTTACAGTGGAAGAATGTATAATATATTCTTAGGGTTTATGTTTCTCTGTAGTCAGGACGTCTCACCTAATGATATTATAATGTTGTCACTAGTGTTGTGACTATATGTTACTAGTGATAACATTACCATATCATTAGGTGAGATGTTCTGACTACAGAGAACTATGTACTAGAAAAGTAAAACAACAACAACAATGTGGCTGCCACCAACATGGGGTCATGTGCTGGAGTGTATAATAAGGATTGTAAGAGAGGTAAATTACCTATGTCTTCAAGAACTTTCCAATCTTGGAGGTATAAAACAAATTATAGACATATATCAAAAATTTAAAAATGTACATATATGCATATAGGTACTAGTGTAAATCAATACATTCAATATTTACATGCCATAAAGAATTACCAGAGATTAATGTAGGCATAGCTAATCAGAGAATGCTTTAAGAAGAGAATTTGGGGACGGGCGTGGTGGCTCACATCTGTAATCCCAGCACTTTGGGAGGTCAGGGTGGGCAAATCACCTGAGGTGGGGAGTTCAAGACCAGCCTGACCAACATGGAGGAACCCCATCTCTACTAAAAATACAAAATTAACCAGGTGTGTTGATGCATCCCTGTAATCCCAGCTACTCGGGAGGCTGAGGCAGGAGAATAGCTTGAACCCAGGAGGTGGAGGTTGCAGTGAGCTGAGATGGCACCATTGCACTCCAGCCTGGGTGACAGAGCGAAACTTTGTCTCAAAAAAAAAAAATAAATAAAAAGAAGAAGAGAATTTGGGGCCAGGTGTAGTGGCTCACGCCTATAATCCCAGCACTTTGGAAGCCAAGGTGGGCAGATCATGAGGTTAAGAGATCGAGACCATCCTGGTGAACATGGTGAAACCCCGTCTCTACTAAAAATACAAAAAGTAGCTGGGCATGGTGGTGGGCACCTGTAATCCCAGCTACTCCGGAGGCTGAGGCAGGAAAATCGCTTGAACCGGGAGGCGGAGGTTACAGTCAGCCAAGATTGTGCCACTGCACTCAAGCTGGGCAACAGAACTAGACTCCATCTCAAAAAAAGCAAAAAAAAAAATATAGAGATTTGGAATTTTATGCAGGTCTTTAAAGGAATATAGATTGGCATGGAGGCGGGGCAGTGTTGGAGGAGGTAGGAGCTTACTTATGAAAGCAGAGGAGTAGGAGCACAAAATAATAAGAAAACTGTCTTAATGGAAGTAAAGGACTTACACTATAGAAGTTAGTTAAACTAGCCCAATTGAGGGGCACTGCAAGCCTAACAAAAAAGTTTGAATGTATTTTAATAAAAAAAAACTTAGAAACTTGAGGCTTTTAAGCAGGAGAGGGAATGATGAGAATATTGTTTTGGAAAGTTTCTGCTCTTGTCCCTAAAGGAAATTGCAGAGAAGACTTTGATGAGAAAGTAAATGACTTTAATAATCGACGTCCCTAGTATTGCTTTAGAATGAATGGAACCGATCTCCAATCTGATTATCTGACTACTGAGATGTGTATAGTTCAAATTAATACGCCCCAGTTAAAATCCTGTTGAGCATGAAATACCAATGAAGAGAAAATTAGCTTCTGCATATGGTCACGTTAGAAAATATCAGGGTACACAAAAAGAGCAGTGTATCATTTTGGAATCTCTGATCTGCAAGTCAGGAAAAGAGGCATCTTTGATATCTAGAGTGGCTCATGTCCATGCTGCAGATTGCACACAAAGGACTACTAAACACACATTTAGTTTTAGTCCTCTTTCTAATTTGAAACAATGCTGAAGCACAAAAAGAATGCCCAATCTACAATAGTAAGACCCAGCAAAACAAAAACCAGCTTTAGAGTAAAATGCCCCGGAGGGTTGGTTTGGTATTCCTGACTGTTTGATCTTTGGTAAATTGGCCTTCTCCGAGCTGCACCTTCCTAAGTAGGAATGATGATAACAATACAATAAATAGACATTGTGAGGATTACACGAATTAAATGGCATAGTGTACACTGAAAGCGAATCCCCAAACTTGCCCCTGAACCTCCATAAAAGCCGCTACCATGTGACCAGTTGCACAAGGCAAAATTGTTAAACTCTTCTTTGACTTTTCTTTTTCTGTATTCACCTGCAGCCCAGCACTATTCTGATTCAACCTTAAAACATAATGTGGGTCTGTCTACTTTTCCTCATTGTCTCTTTCTAGATTATATGTTATCTTCATTTCCAACTTGAACCTCTTAAACACACTGCCATCAATTTCCCTACTTTGGTTAACTGCATTATGACAATTCATTCTTTTTAGAGTATTTAGATTGAATTTTTAAATTAAAAATATGTTCATGCTATTCTTTTAGTTGAAACACCCCTATTAGCTCCATACCTTTTTAGAACAAAATGCAAACTGCTTTGGTCTCCAAGACTCAGCCTGACCTCTGTCTGCTTCTCCCACTTCTCAACTTTTTCTTACTCCACCTTCTCGGTTCCACCCCATTGGCCTTTCGTGGTTTCTCAAAAGATTCAGCCTTGTTCCCGCCTCAGGACCTTTGTACTAGGATTCCCTCTGCCTGCAATGTGTATCCTTTGATTTTTGCGTGGTTGGTTTTCCTTTTAATTCTGGGCTCACTTTAAATTTTACCTTCTCAGAAAGTTCTTTTTGATTACCTGGCAAAAAGTATCCCTTTTGTCATATTTAATAAGTTACCTATATTCAATTTTCCTCATAGCACATATCACTATTTGTTATTTTTTCTCATACGCTCAGGTGCATATTTTCTTACTGCCTGTCTCACCTCAGTGGAAGGTTAATTTCCATGGAGTAGAGACTTGTCTTCCTTATTCAGCAGTATTCACCTAGAACAGTACTCATGGAGTGTTTGTTAAATGCATGAATGAATGAATGAGTGCCCCACGCAGACAGAAGCAGGTTGAAAACTCATTAAGTCAAGGCTGTAAACGCACTAAGGACCCATAGGATGTCATACTCACTTATTGATCCCTAACACCTAGTAGAACCCCATTCACATAGCAGGAATTTCATTGATTTTTGGAATAATGTTTTCCAGTTTGTAGTTATTTTCATAGAAGTTTCTCCTACAAAGAGCTGAGAAGAACAGTGATTTAAAGATCATCTCACTGTCTCTTTGCATGTTTTTTTGAGGGGGATGGGGTAGGTGATAAAGTCGGGGAGATTTCCCTATTTCTTTTTCTCTGTCTATTATTATCAGTAGCAGCCCTGTTTTATGTTTGACCAAACAATGCCCTCTGCTGTATGTGCCTAAAATAACATGATTGCCTTGAAAATTTCTGCCTAAGAGGATGCCTAGTTGTTTTCATGATTTGCTTCTTCCCACCTACATGTACTCCAGAACTAGGGAGGACTGGATTAGCTTTCAGGTCACTGCATTGGATCAGAACACTTTATAACAGAGAAGAGAATTCCTAGAGTCAGCAAATGACTTTAAAATGGAGGGGCTTCTTGACCACCACATGCCTGCTACAGAGACTCATTTGAACCATTTATTTAAAAATCCATGGGTGGAAAAGATCTTCTAATTCTACTATCACAATCTAAAGCAACAAGATAGAATAGGCAAGGGACTGGGGAAGGCTATGGCGGCTCCAAACCTTGTCTTAGCAACAAAAAGTCAAATCTACTTCATGCTAAAAAATCCGACCCAGGGATAGAGTCACAGCTTGGCAGGGCTAAAAATAAAAATAATTTGTTTTTTTTCCTGCCTGTTTACACTCTCATGATGCTGGAGAGATAAGTGTACCTGGCATGAGGTTTCTGGCTGTTTATGAATCCTTTCGATCTTATTCACTTTTTGATATTAATTATTTAAGAAAATGTAAAATATAGATGACCAACTTGTTTCTCAAATTATAGGGTGGAATTTGAGGTGTTTGGGGGTATGTTTATGTTTTTGACAGCAATTTGCTTTAGTGAAATGTATAACCAGAGAAAAATATTTAAAATCTCGAGCTCCATGTACTGCTAGATATTTCACTCTCCAGGTAATGAAATCAGAATGCTCCAATGATTAGAAATATGCCTGTTTGTAACAATGCCTACATTCTCCTTTGTGCTAATATTTTAAGTCTGGAGCCCCACAATGCATGAAACTGTTGCTTCTTTTTTTCTTCCTGTTTTTTTTCTTTTTTCTTCAAGTTCAAGGGCCATTTAATGATTAATACATGTTATTCCTTATCTCCACAAGTGGTCTTTTCTTTTCATATTTTTCCCATAGGAGATTTTCAAAGCAACATTTTGCAGACTTAGTGTAACAACACATGGGAGCCTAGACAATCACAGTGCAAGAAAGCATAGCCCATCAATAGTTCCCCAGTGCCTACAGAATTAAGCCTAAATCCCTTACTGCCTCTACCCACTAGATGCCAGTAGCAACCTCAGTTGTGACAATCTACAGTGTCTCCAGACACTGCCAAATGTCCCCTGGGGGGCAAAACTGTCCTCTTTGAAAACCACTGCCTTTGTGTGACATGTAAGCCCCTCCATAGTGCTGTGCCATTCTGCTTTCCCAGTTGTATCTCCCACTGTTCTTAATACAGTCTAGGCTGCAGTGTGTTCCGACTCTAAAAATACTCCCTCTACTTTTCCTCTTTGGGGACTTGCTCCTTCTTACTTTAGATTGAAATTACCTACTCTGATTTTTTTTTAAATCAAAATTGTACCCAGTCAGAGCCAATTTTACAATGGCTCTTTCTACTAGGCTGTCATCAGCCTTATTGATCAGTATAAATCCATCCTTTCCCTAAATTGTCCGTAAAGCCAAGACTATAACACTTACCAAATCCACGTTTGCATGTAAATGTTTGGGAATGTGTTCAACCTATTTCTTCATAAGTTTTCTCAAAGACAGAAACTGGTTGATATTTAGGCATTCAATAAATATTAGCTGAATTGAATTACGGAAATGTGTCACATATTTTAATTCATAGTCAGCAGCCAAATTGATAAACTAATTTTATAAAAACATAATGTATTGAAGTCCATTGCTAAGACTTATATGTGAACCAAAAAGATAGAAAAGGTATAAAACTTAGTTTAAATGGCAAAGAGAGGGCTCAATAATTACTCCTTGTCACCCTCCATATAAACAAATGAAAATTTATATATTAAGATTGTGAAGAAGTAAATTACCAAAAATCAGCATGTAAATAGGGGATTGAAAATGACGGTTTAGGGTAAAAATCTATCCTTAGCAGCAGTAACCTGTATCCTAAATATTACATCCAGAGTATCTTGTATATTATGTATGCTCAATATAGGAATAAATATGTGGCCTCAAGAAAAGGTTGATTGTTGCAGATTTCTAGCTGCTTACACAACTAAGCAGACACTAATAGTACATAGAGACTTAAAAATCAGAGACACAAATTTTTGTAGTACCCTTCCGTGAAACTGCCTGGGGATTGAGTGTTGTGATTTTGGACTCTATTATTGTGAGGATAAATGAGTTAATATAGAAAGCTTTAGAACAGTGTCTTGTACATAATCAATACTGTAGGAATATTTGTTATTGTCTTCATTGTTTCCATTATTCGTCTAGCACTGATGACAGTTAAAGTCCGTATATGGAGAATGGTTGATGCGTCAACTATAATAATATAACACTAAAACAATTTGAATCATACAATTAAGTTCTCTTAGTTTTATTTTTCATCAATATCCGTATTTGATTATTATTTCCTTTTCCATGAAATTGTACAGTACCATCATGGGTTCCTAAGAAGTTTATTAATGGGTTTCAAATCATTTATGAACCTCCTGAAAGTATACGCCAATTTTTGTTTAAATGTGATTATATATTTTTATAGAAAGATTATTCATTAGTCTTAACATCATACTCTCAAAGAGATTTATGGCTGCAAAAAAGTTTAAGTTCCATACAAAATAATTGATAGACTGAAGTGCTTGAAAGGTCTGTTAGAGTTCTAGCTATAAATTAGCGAATTGACATTCTGCTCTATATATCAATTTCTTACGTGTTTAGCAAGTACATTTACAACCTTCTCATAATGAGCTACCAAAATCAAATTTCTGAGAGTGAAAACCCAGGTCTTGAGTAAATTCCTCAAAACAAATGCCCGTTGGGAAGGGTCTTGGGAGGTAGTCTACCCTGGTAACAGCAATCTTTGCCAAACAACTTAAACACCAGTACACTGGTGACATTTTGTCACTCCACGTCATTTCTTTAAGGAATTTGTGGCAATGTATGAATCAGGATGCAGAATGATAAAATAAGGTCCTGTGCTCCCTCAATAGAGCAGAAATGGGACCTTCTCTGTTCCAGAATTTTCTTTCATTTTGCTATAGTTTATTCCTCAAAGGAAAATGTAGTAATGCATTAACTAATGCATTGATGTTTATCTCTTAGGGTGTTTTGGGTGACCATGCCTGATGCGAAAGGAGAAAACACTGTACTTATGAATATTAGTGGAAAAACAACCATATAAAAGAAATAAATAAAAAATAATATTCTATTAAAACAAACATAACCAAAACCCCAATAAGGATCCTCCCTCAATAAACAAATCTAGTGTTGGAGAGAGGGTAAACTGCAGAAACTGGTCATATGTTTTAGCTTCTCGGGATGCACAATAGGCTGATTTGCTCTAGGCTTTCAGTTTGAAAAATATAGGGGAGAGAAAAGCGTATAAAAAGGGCTGAGTATTTCAAATTATGTTTAATCAAAATATGTAGAAAATTATTTTCCATATATATTTTGTTTTCATCTAGGTTAATGACAAAGCAAGTAACTAAAGAAGTGCTTTTGAAAAAAGATCTAAGAAGACTATCTGAAACGTAAGTCCTTGGCAAGGCAGTCAGAGAAGGATGTGATTTCAGTAAGTTGGTAATGCGGTTAATAGCCTTGCTTCCCAGGCTTCCTTTGGATTGATGACTGGCTGGGAGGAGTTGATAGTCATTAACCCCCAACTTCTCATTAATCCTTCGAAAATGCTCTGTGCTAAGGTCACCAATGCCTTTATAGGTTGAAAACAAACAAACCAACAATATACCCAGAAGGTGTATGGATTTTTATAATGAGCAATGCAATTTAAATTACCATGCAAGGCAATCCGAAGAGAACAAATATCATGTATATAGAGTCATTCAGATTTTAAAATCACCTCCCAACGTTTTACCAAGTACTTACTTCCTTGTTCATTATTAAATAGTACAAAACCCTAATTTCCTAGAGAGTAACCAAAAACATATTTATAACCCCAGGCGAAGCACTAAAGATGTCTGGGATTTATTTTATAGTAGAGTGCGGGGAAAGATAATCTCTAAAGTCATTTCAGCTATAATAATATATGATTCTAAGTATATTCTCTAACGCTATACCTACCAGGGAACTCCAATTCAGTAACTTGCCATCATTGATCATTTGTAACAGGGTACTGAGACAAGCCCAGTATAAACAATAGTCATAAACCATTGCCAACATGCTCCACTGAGGGAGTGTGTATGATTGCGTAGATCCTTGTAAGTAGTCTGGGTGTTCAGAGAGAACCAGTGAGGCTTGAGCAATCAGTGAAAGGTATGTGGACAGTGGATCTAGGGGATATGTAGATTTGAATAAGCAAAAGGTCTAGCATTTTAAGAGAGAAAAAAAAACAGGCACTTTCCTTCAATAATATTTTTTGAGTGCCTACCAAATTTCAAGCACAATGCTCATTTCTTGACACTTAGGGCCAAGTGTATCTCATCAAGAATCTCACAGTGCAGTATGATTCACAGGTGAGTAAGCCAGGAATTATAATGCAGCAGAAAATCCTAGAGAAATTCTATTCTCTATTCTTTAGAATGAGGTATTATAGCAGCACACAATAAGGAACATACACTAACAGAGCAGAAAGAGAGAAAAAACGGAAAGAACCAGGCGTGGTGGCACATGCCTGTAGTCCCAGCTACTTGGGAGGCTGAAGCAGAAGGTTCACTTGAGCCCAGGAATCTGAGCCCAGCCTGTGCAACATAGCAAGACACTATCTCTAAACAATAATCATCATCATCAAGAAAAGAGAAAGAGTTTATTTGAAAACAGGCACAAGTTGGGTAGGGAATATATGAAAGTAAACATGACATAGGCAGTGGAGTAGTAAGTAGAATAAATGAAATAACACCAGAATATACAAAATAGACAAGGAATTTAGATTTGATATTAACTCATGGATAGATTGTAGGGACTTGATTTTTCTTTCTGACATGTGATCAGAAATAGAAAGGTAATGGAGATATAAGCAAAACTCTAAGATGAATGGTTTGGAAACTACTGTCCACAGGCAAAACTGGAAGGGAAAAGGACAGTGGGAAGAGTATTTAAGGAAAAGCAAGTCTGCAGTGGTATGGAATATGAATAGGACAGAGTGAAATAGATTATTTCAATAATCAAGCTATAAAATAATGATGGCCTGGGTTAGGCTCTGACTTTTACCTAAAATATAAGCTGAAGTAACATTATGATTTATCTATCTCTGCTCTGGAATCCTTAATATGTGATACTCTTAATATATATTTACCAGATCCCATGATTCCTGACCTGTCATTGCTTCCTCTGATTTCTGTATATTTTTTAGTCCCTACAACTTTGGAGTAAGTCCTGCAAATCTAGTGGCTCCCACTGAATATCTCAGACCCACTGCTTTCCAGTTTTCAGCATGACTTAAGAGTTTAATAAATTCACCAAAATGACCCACAAAAACCTGATAAGGAAACTCTCTTTAATTGAGTCTGTGTTTATGAGATCTGAGCAAGGGGAGGAAACAGAGTAGACTCTTTCTGTGATTTCCAGGCAACGTCATTTAATCAGAATGCAGATAGCAGGGATGGCCTCCTAATTGGAAATAGAAACTGGTTTAAAGTAACCTCAACACTGTTAACATTGTATAATGAGGAAACCTTGGTGATGACATGTCAGATAATGGAAATGACTGGAATCAGTGATTTTTTTGTTTCTTCCTAATGACTGCAAAATAGGGAATTATTCAGCAAATGCAGACATTTGAAAATTAGATTCACAGTTATTTATTTACTTAAGGCAGTCCTCATTTTGCTCCATGCTGTGTTAACCATAGGTTGTGAATATTGGAACCAAGTTTTCTTTTTTGCACAATTCCTATATTTGCTCTTAGTTACCATGGAATCTTGCAAAACTAGGATTCAATTCCAAAATGAATGAGCTTCAGTTAACACAGTCCCATGGAAAGTAAAAACTCCCTGTATTTTTCTGTATTCACTTTGCCTGCAATGCATCATTTGCAAAAATATTTCATGGGAAAAAATAGAGCTGTACATGAAAAGCAATAAGGAGCTGGGTCCTTATGGTATCATAATGGGATAAGAAAGTAGGGAAGCCTGTGCATGCTCCTATTTAAACCATTATTAACTATGTTTCCTTGATTTGGATGGTTAAAATTACTTTTTAGTTACTTTTCCCACCATGTCTTTATTCTTGAAAGGATGCATTTTTAAAAGAATAATCTGAAAAAGCACGGGGCTGACAGTCCGATTCTAATATGGATATTAGAGACGTTGGGTGATAATAATGCAAGTTACTTAAACTTTCCATACCCATCTGTAAAGTGAGGACAGAATGTTCTTTCTATGCCAAAGGCATACCGCAAAAATAAACTTTAATAAGAAATCAGTGTGTACAAAGTACAATCCACAAAATTAGGTTAAATTATGATATAGGTGTCATTCCTGCATTCCTCAATCCCATTTTTTAAGCTGCACCTGACATGTGAGCAGAACTAGAAGAGGGCTGGAGATGTAAGCAAAACTCTAAGATGAATGGTTTGGAAATTACTGCCCATAGGCAAAATCGGGCTCACCACGCCAGTTTTTGTAAGTAAAGTTTTGTTAGTAGACTTCCACACCCATGCATGTAAGCGTTGTCTGTGGCTGCTTTTACACTGAAGGGCAGAACTGAGTGGTTGTGATAAACTGTATGGCTTGCAAAGCCTAAAATATTTACCACCTGGTCTCCTAAAAAAAAAAAAGGCTACTACAGCATCCATCCAGAGACTTTTCTTTTTTCTTTTTCTTTTTGATATGGAGTCTTCGCTCTGTCGCCCAGGCTGGAGTGCAGTGGCGCGATCTCGGCTCACTGCAAGCTCTGCCTCCTGGGTTCACGCCATTCTCCTGCCTCAGCCTCCCGAGTAGCTGGGACTACAGGCACCTGCCACCATGCCCGGCTACTTTTTTTTTTTTTTTTGTATTTTTAGTAGAGACCAGGTTTCACCATGTTAGCCAGGAGGGTCTCGATCTCCTGACCTCGTGACCCGCCCACCTCGGCCTCCCAAAGTGCTGGGATTACAGGTGTGAGCCACCACGCCCGGCCCATCCAGAGAGACTTTTCTTACCTACTCGCTTCAATCCCAAGGCTACCAAGATGACCTGTGAAGGCATGGAAGAAAAATACTAAAACTTCTATTTGTAATTAACTTTATTCTAAGAACAAGTAAAGAAATTCAGTTTCACTAATTTTGCAATGTTGCCATGCATCATATAACTTATGGAGGAATCCTGGGGAAAAGTGGGAGTTCCAGAACAGAGGGCTTGCCTGTAGCACCATTACTTGATCACACTTTCAGTACACTGTGACATATTGCTATTTCTGTGTGGTGGGATAATTGGCTTTAGAGATTATATTACTTAGTTTTAACTGAATTAGCACTCACAAAATGGACACAGTAGCTTAAGATTCTTCCAAAGATAACATGGAATCAATATTCTTTTTGTTTTGTTTTTGATTTTGCTTTTGCTGAGACTCAGTATTCTAATAATAAGGCAAGTATAAGCATATAACAACAAAAAAAGTTAGAGCTATCATTTTTATCTCCAATATGAGCTCTTTGAAACAACAAAATTATCACTTAAAGAAGTTTATTTTGATTAAACCTGTACACCTATGTATGCACGTGGGCACGTGTGTGTGTGTGTGTGTGTGTGTGTGTATGTGAGAATAGGAACTATCACTTTTACCAGTAATCTTGTCCTATCAGACTCTTGTCCTAGCTGCACTCTCACACTTTCTCTTCCTAGTAACCTAGTAATGAATTCACCACGTGTCAATCAACATCTCTGATTGATACCTGGATTTTTATTTTTATTTTTTTGCTTTTTCTCTTCACCTCACCCCTTTTCTCCAGCCAGCAACACTAGGCATATTGCTGCACAAAGTCATTGCCTCATTTATCCCTGAAATTGAGAATTACATTTCCACATGTCCCTTCAGATCCAAGAAGAATGACCTGGAAACAGGATTGCAAGAGACTACCCACTACCCTCTCCTTGCCTCCTTTCCTTCTTCTTGACCAAAAGTGTCTTCCTCTCACATTCATTAGAAAGAGGAGTTAATATCTATTGGGTTTTTGCCTTAAAAGCTATGAATATAGGATCCAAATTAAGAACAATGGAATTGGAAATTTTAATTATAAAAAGGACCCTGGGGAATTAGGTAAAACCTCAGCTTCCTCATTCACTATATTAAAGATCTCTCCTTTTTCCTAACCTATAAAATGTGTGTGGTAGCATCTGTCTTTCCTTTCTCATTGTTATCAGGATAACTTGGGATAGTTTATGAATTGTAAGATCATTTTAAACTATAAGTATTAGATAGACTTTGGGGATCAATAATTTTTAAACTTTGAATTCATACAAAACCAAAACAAATCAGAAAAGTGAGGGGAGGAAAGGAGACCAAGAGACCAAAAAACACGGTATGCTTTCCATGACAGGCACTAACTTACATACGCAGTTTTATTTAATTCTCACAACAACCCCATGAAGAACATTAGGATCCAGATGCTCTGTAAGTTTGTCACTTAACCCAAATCACACAATTAGTACTGTCCAAATCCACCTCCTTTTAGCCACTGTACTGTGTAGACATATCTTCTGCTAGCTACGTAAATTTGGATGTGACATTTTTTCTTTTTTTTTTTTTTAGAGATGGAGTCTTGCTCTGCCACTCAGGCTAGAGTGCAATGGTGCAATCATAGCTCACTGTAACCTTGAACTTCTGGGCTCAAGTAAACCTTCTACCTCAGCCTCCCTTCAGAGTAGCTGGACTATAGGTGCATGCTACCACACATGGCTGCTTTTAAAATTTTTTATAGAGATGGGGTCTTGCTATGTTGTCCAGGCTGAATGAGATATTCTCTTGACAACTTGTTTTCCTCATTTCTAAAGGGATGAAGACTAACACTACTACTATGATGTACTAGCTGTAGTATCACATCTAATCCTAACCAAACCTCATGGCTTAGAAGTGCTCCTATCAATTTTGTCTTTGAGCAACCAAGACAAAGCATTTAAGTACCATGTTTAAGGCTTTACAGCCACTCTGTGGTGGGGCCTGAACTTGAACTGCCAGCTCCGGATTCATTTTCCTTCCACATGCTATCTGGCAGTGAATTTTGTAGGGTTAACTAGAAAACATAAGTAAAAGTAATAGCAAAATATATGTTGCACAGTAGGTACTCAATATATAGTATATTTTATCTTTCCTAAGGAAATTCTTACTTTCTCTTGGAATGGGATCAGCACAGTGTTTTTATTCTCTGGGAGGAAAATAAGGACTCAGGAGAAATATCATTCTGGGTTGAATAAATAAAGAGCAAGCCACAGCTGGATATGAATGTGGATTATGATACACAGAATACAAACTTTCAAGTGACAGCCAAGAGTTCCTTCTTACCAACATGTGCTATCTTAGTAAATTTCACTCCCAATTCTTTCATTTTTGAAGAAAAACATTTCCAGCTAATAACACAATTACACTTAAGTATTAGAGCCCATTTGAGTATTATTGCATTTGTTAAATCTAACTAAGTCCAAATTACTTCCTCATTGCTAACAAGAGAAAGAGAGGGAGGAAGAAGAGGAGGCGGCGAGAACTGAGGGGAAAAGAGTTTCGGAGGGTTAAAGGAAGAAAAGAAGACACATACACAGAGTGCTAGAGAGAAAAACAGTGAGCTATCAATGCTGCATATAGCCTCAAGTCCAATAAATGTCAGTTAAACTTGCTGCTCACAGTTTCTATGGAAACCCCTTAAGTTAGGAGTGGAACACAGACATTTTTTGGACTGCAATTCACAAGCTGTTTATTTAATTATGATGAAACATGAGACTGTTAGGGACAATACTATCATCATACTGATAGCATTTAGGATTCAACAAATAGGTATGGCAAAATAAAAAGTTGATTTCTTTTTTAAATCATTAACTTCATGTGCATTGCATGTGAATAAAATGCATCTTTTTTTTGTTTGTTTATTTTATGGGACTTCACACATTATTTCCTTCAGGCGAACCCCAAATTAGTCAAATGACATTCATTAAAAGGGACTTCTTCAGAGGCCTCATGCCAATTATACCCCCACATGCCCAGTGAACAAAACCAAGGTCACAGCATATTTTCAATTAAACCCAAGACAGCACCAAAGTGCAGCACAGCTGGAAAAACAAGCACATTATTGCCCCATAGATCATTTGTGAGCAATGAATAGGTCTCTGGTGCTTTTCTGTTTTATAGGCATTTGAATATAAAAACAAAGAAAATAGCTTCAGATTAGCTTTTGCCTTCCAAAATAAACAACTACTTTTAGGGCATTACCCCTGGGGGTCCGAAGAAACATGATGTGAAGCCATCACTGTTCTGTCTCTGATGGTTGAAAATCACTTGCTTGGGTATTAATTTGGCTGCAGGAAACCGTCTAATTGATGGGCTCATTTATACCTTTGTTCTTTCACTAGACAAACATGTAGTTTTCCACCTACTGTGTGTCAGGCACTGTACCAGGGACAAGGGAGAGAAGAAGGTTAAACCCCAGTTCCTGCCTTAATAATAAAGTTTTTGGAAGGAAGTGCATTAATTTTGTCAATTATTTATAAAGGGCCAACTACAGCTCATAGGTGCCAAGTAGGTAAGATTAGAATCCTGCCTTCAAGGAGATTACAATTTAATGATGATACAATAAATCATAGAGCAAAGAGTCAGTGTTCCTGCCTCCTGCTGCCTCCTCATCTTTTCTCTCTGCAGGTAGAACTACCACTCATGGAAACAGTGCTACAGAAGGTAAATACGTTTATGTGTATGCGATGGTTTGCTGGTGGATGGTGGTGTAAAGAGGGAGCTTCAGAAATATTGCCATGGGAGAACCACATTTCCAGTTCTGTCCATGAGCCACCAATACTCTTATAAAATATTTAGCCCATAAAATATGACTGAATGAGGAGGCACTCACAAGATAAGTGAATCCCAAGGTAAGTCATCTCTCGAGTCAAGCAGGGAACATGAGGCTGTTTCTAAACTGGCAAAGAGAAACACAAGAAATTTGCAAATATGACTCAGTGGATATGTCTTTTCTACTATATTGCGGCTTATTTTTTGAAATTCAGTAGTGGTTTTCAGTAGCTGGACTTCCCACAAATTGCTCGTGCTAGCAAAACCAGTCATTGCCGTTATCAGGTTTGACAGTGTATAACGAGTCACTTCACATTAGCTGCAGTTGTAGTGTTCAGCATACTGTGGGAAAGATTTAGTATGAATCATCACCCACCTAGCTCTCCACTGGGGGTCTCTATGCTGTAAGTAGGCAGTGCGTTTGCCAATCTAAAAAAAAAAAAAAAAGAAAAGAAAAGAAAAAAAAGCATCCATTAGAATAATTCAGGACAATTCTTGATCTGCCACCACCACAACCACCAACCACAGACACCACTGATGACATTTATTGAATTGCCACTGTATTTTAACACTATCCTGGGCAGAAAGCCAAAGCAACTCTCTTAACTACTGGCCATTTTGAACAATGCATTTTTTAATGCCAATAAAAATGCATTTGGACTTACAAGAAATGTAGTCTTATTAGATACATGACCTTAAGTAAGTCACATTTTCTCTGTGATCTAGTGTCCTGATCAGAACCACATCATAAGATTAAATTGGATAATGCATTATAATGATGGATAGGAAAGGGTTAAATAGAAAACTCAATTATTAAAGTCAAATGGGATGTTAAGAATCTGACATAGGCATCTGCTGCAAATTCTATTTGGGATTGCCCACCACCAACACCACATCCCCAAACAAGAAAGATATAAAATCTTTCCTCTCTCTACACATCTCTCATCTCACCCCACTACTCCTGTGGCACTGACAGAATAAAAATCATAATCTGAGACTGAGGGCCATGTACAGTACTTAAAGCAAAGAGATCCTAAGAGAGAGAGCTCACATTTTACAAAGTATAATGAAGTAAAAGAAACTTGCTGTAATTCCAACAAATACAGGTCTTCCAACCTTGGAAATATAGTTGGTACAGACTGTACAAAGAGGAAACCCAGAGGAACTGCAGATAGAAAGATCCCTCACAATTAGTAATCAAGATCAAGGGACTGACATGGATATTAAAATCACCAAGAAGCCTATCAAGAGTAAGTATGGAGAGAACAACAGGGAGGCAGATGTTAAAATCTTCAAGGGACAAGGAGGAGTGAAGCACAGGGCTATGGCTGACTCCAACAAGAAGTTGTTAGCAGGTGGTATAATCTGATGGTGTAAGCTTCACAGATGGGCATTTTACTGTATTAGATGATTTTGTCTGGAACAGACAATGTAAATAAAAGTGCTTTTCAAATGTCATAGCAATATATCACTAATGAATGTTATTATTATGCAAGTAAAACTGAATATGATCAAAATGTATTTTAAAGATGATCTGTGGATTTTCTGTCCATAGGTTTAAATAAATGGATAACTCAGCCAGGCGGAGTGGCTCACACCTGTAATCCCAGCACTCTCGGAGGCCGAGGTGGGTGGATCACCTGATGTCAGGAGTTCAAGACCAGCCTGGCAAACATGGCGAAACCCTGTCTCCACTAAAAATACAAAAATTAGCCAGCATGGTGGTGCACGCCTGTAGTCCCAGCTACTTGGGAGGCTGAGGCAGAATTGCTTGGACTTGGTAGGTAGAGGTGGCAGTGAGCCAAGATCATGCCACTGCACTCCAGTCGGGTGACACAGTGAGATTCTGTCTCAAAAAAAAAAAAAAAAAAAAAAAAAAACCTCGATTTTATAAAATGTTTTCCCAAATCTCATGGTTTCAAGAAGTATTAACTACCCTTCAGTAGGATATATGAAATATGAATCGGAATTTAATGTGCTTGGGATTTATAACTTTAGAGCAAGGCTGTAGGTAACAATTAGTGTGTGTAGAGAGGCAAAGAAAAGGTGGGAGGTGAAAACATGTTTATTGCTAAATCAAATAGCCGGTTCTCAATTTTCATATTAGGCAAAAATTATTAATGTTTGACATAATGATCACTCTGTCCTTTATGAAACACCTTTTGCACTTGGCTCCTACAAAACGACTCCCTTGCTTCTCCTCTTGCCTCAGTGATAACTCTACTCAACATCCATTGCTGGTTGTGTCTTGTCTCACAGGCCAATGAACCTTGGAGTGCCCCAGGTCTCAAATCAGTGGACCTCTTATTTATCTATACTCACTCTCTAGGTGGTCGTATAATGCTTTTAAACACCATCTATAAACTGAAGACTGCCAAACTTAAATCTCCAGCAGGCTTGCAGACTTGTATATACTACTGCTTTTTCAAGACCTCCACTTGGAGGCTTCAAAAATCAACCTGTCTACAGTCAAACTCTTCATTTTGATTTAACCCGACAAAGACTTTTTCTAATGGCAGTTGCATTCATTCATTCATACAACTATATATTTTAAGCTCTTACTGTGTGCCAAGCACCATTTCAGGAATGATTTTTCTAGTGCTCAGGCCAAAATCTACCTTGAAACGTTTTTTTGGTCTCATACCCTCTCTTTTTGGATTGTATCACCTCTACATCTTATCACCTTTATATCCTATCACCCATGCATTGGAAATTCTGTGTATCAGTATTCTGTTTTTTTCTCCAAACACATCTATTGCTATGTCTTGGTCCAATTTCTATCTGGATAATTGGAGTATTCCATAGCCTGGTCCAATATCTGGTTTTCCTGCTTCTAATTTCTCCACATAGTGGAGGGATCCTATTTGAATTAAAGTCAGATCATGTTCCTTCTCAATGCTCAATGGCTTCTCGCAACACTCAGAGTAATATTAAAGTCCTAATGGCCAGTCATAATTTTTTTTTCCTGCATCTCTCCCGCTTCTTTGATCTCATTTTCCTACAACAATCGTTCATATTCACTCTGCTCTGACTACCACACTGGCTCCTTATTGTTTCTCCTGCACACCAAACATAGTGCTTTCTCAGGGGCCTTGCACATGCTGTTCCTCTGCCTGGAATGCCCTTCACCCAGACAGACCTATACCTACACCTGCACTCCATGACAACAGTGCCACCTTTCATGCAAATACCTGTATACTTTGCTTCTTTACTTCCTTCAGGGCTCTGCTAAACCTGCTCAGAGAGGTCTTCCCTGGTTATGTTGCTTAAAACATAACCATCCTTGTTCTCATAATTCTCTGTCCCCTTATTCTGTTTTATTTCGCTTGATAAAACATCTCAAAACTAGAGATAACATGTACATATTTGTTTTCTGTCTCCTCCAACTAGAATATGAGTTCCCAGGATATGGAGTTTATATGATTTGTTTATTGATGAATCTCCAAAAGTAGCCCCATTTTATAGGTGAGGAAACTAAAGCTCAGAGAGATCAGTGCCTTCCTTGAGGGCTTTTCTGGAGAAAATGGAGATTACTAAGTAGGAAGGAGAGAATAAACATGGGGGTGGTAACGATAGCTAGATCAGAGCTGTAAAAGGTATAGCAGTTAAGTTCATAAATTCTATCATCAGAGATAGTCATTTTGTGGCTTGTGGGAAGTTATATAATTTTTTTAGGTTTCAATTTCCTCATCTGTAAAATTAAGGTGATAATAATAGAGTCAACTTCAAAAGGTTGTTCTAAACTTGAAATGAGATGATACCCATAAACCAACAAGCCTGGCATGTCATACATTCTCTAATAATGGAAACGATAATTATCTGAGAGTTAATTTCTTTGAATTATATGTATTTTTCTAAATTCTCCTTCATTAAAAAAATGCTGAACATAACTATCCATCTGCTACCAGCAGACCCTTCATTCATTGTTTATTGAGCACTGTTCGAAACACTTACAAATGGCTAAACAACTCATCTACTTTTCTAAAATGATGATTTAAGGCCAAATGTGGTACTTGTCCCCAGATGTATTATTAAGCCTGGACTTGGGAAAATATAAAACAAGGTGATAATCCTCCTTGATCTTTTACATAGCACTTTGTTGAAAGGTCTTGTTGAAAACAAGACTGGCAATAAGAAAGATGATGATGAAGATTGTATCTTTTGTTAATACTATAAATTATAATTTGAAAAATTGTTTCATGTGTATTACCCTATCTGACCCTCAACAAATATAGGAGGAAGGCGAATGAGATTATAATTTTTCATTTTGCAGTTAAGAAAGTTAAAGTATAAGAAAGTTAAATAATGTGATTAAGGTTTAATAAAAGCCCTAATATGTGATGAGTTAATAGAAGAAATCAAATATTTGAAGCCGTAGGCTAGTGATCTCCCTATTACATGGTCTTTTAACACAAGGTAAACAGGAGGTATTTTCTGCAATGAATCCTTCCAGGTTGTTTACATTTATAGAGACTCACTCTTCTGTGTTCCTTTAACACATTGCACTTCTATGTCCAATGTGAGAAGAAGGGAAAGAACATTTGTTGGGCAACTATCAACCAGTGTGCTAGTTTTCCAACTCGTACTTGCTTGCTTATGTGTCTTTCTGCCTCATTAGACTGCATGCCCCCTGGGACAGCCAACATATTCCATTCCATGGGCATGCATACACCCCAGTAACTGCTGTGTAATATGTGTTCAATAAATGTTTCTTGAATAAGATAATGAAATAGCTTATTTGGTGAAATAAACTTATATATAGAAAAAAGCAACTAAAGCATATCCCAAAATTTAAACTATATAATCAATTAGCATGATTACAGAGAATCTCATCAAATTGTCACCTCCTAGGTCAAAAACTGGTGACTATCAACAGTTTTATATTGTTCAAAACAATAGTTTCCAAAGAGAAATAATGATTTTAGAAGTGCCCAGTTGGCCAATCAAATTTCTAGGATCTATGGAAATCCTTTTCAGCTTAGGTCTAGTTACATAAACTTTTATGTCTCAACCAATGGGAAAAAAAGCCAATACTTTTATTTCAATGTAACCTCAAATATTCAATTTGTGAAAGGGTAATTAAAATTAAAACCGGAATAGTTCATTCAGTTACAGAGTTATAAAGGGACCTTATCTATTGATTACCTATACCAGGATCTACAAGCTAGAGCAGAGAAGTCATCCATTTGCCTTACCATAGCTTAAAATCCAGTCATGCTGCCATTTGTACATTACAGAAAGATAAAGTGTCCATACTGTTTTCTCTAATATAGCAGTTTAAATATTACCACTTCTCAACAGTTCTCACTTACTCCTTTCTCACTTAACTTGCTCACAGAAAAAATTAACCACTTTATTATTTTTTTCTATAGTGTTTGCTTCATTATAATATTTATCAGTATAAGGACCAGGACAATATTCTTTTAATCAGTGCGTTGTCACTGCAAAGCTCTATGCTGGGCATATACCAGGAAATGAATTGTTTAAATTAAATGCATATCTGTAGACATAGATGAAATTATAAATGCTACCAAATCATCCTCTGGCTGCTAGAAGTACCCTAGTTTAATAGGAGAGAGCAAGGTATATGGGGTAGAAGATGGTATATATAAAATGTCCTTGATTTTTAAGTAACAGCACCTGATTGACCTCTTGCTCTAACTGATCTGACTCTCCAGTCTGAAAGGACACATGATAGCTGTGCTCTCCTTAAATGTGGCATTTATCTTCATGAGTGTAGTGATGAAGGATGGATCAGGACTGGAACAGTCATCAGTGACTTATCCCATCTTTTTTCACAAGTGAAGATAAATGACACAAAATATCAGCCACTGTGCATTATATATATTTATTCCACATTTGTGCCCACAGACACAAACACACTATAGACCTTTTCCTCAACCTGATTGTTTGTCATTTTCAAAATATACACCTAACAATAACAATAGCAAACCTAGGGGAAAGTCAGAGAGAGTGAAAAATGCTGAAATACCTTCTATGAGACAAGTTATACCCGCTGAGGGGATGCCTCAACAGACCCTATCTATAGGAACTCTAAAATGGCTATAAGCCTTAAAATACAATTTCCACATGTCTCTGACTGTTGTCATTAAGCTAACTTAGAAAATAGTCACAAAGAGCCCCCAAGGATGCTGCATAAGGACACTCTCCAACCTGTAGAAAATCACAAAGATGGTGTTCCTGACGGAATGGCTTCTAAGACCTTCCAGTCATCTACAAATAGTCCTCCTGGTTTACATTATTCTGAAACAATATTCCTTATCCTCAGATGATATGTTTTCCTTAATTTCTGAATTGGACTAGGACATCCTCATTAAGCTTCTTAAACTGACAATAAGGTAGACAAGGCACAAAAAGTTGAATAATGACACCATGAGGGATGGACTTCCTGCTCAACACTGGTATCTAGATACTGTGGGAACTCTGTGTCAGCCTGACATTGGGTATAGCGCTTTCTAGGTTGCATTGGTATAGCACCATTGAGAGCACACAGGATCAAATTAAGTCATTGCTTTCAAACTTAAACTTTACTCAAAGTGGGCCCTTTTGGGAAGGACCTAGTCTCCTAGATTTAATCCACTAGAAAATGGTTATGTCTAGATTATCAGAAAGCCAAGTGTTCTCTTTACCAAAGCAGTTGGGAATTATAGCTGCTGCCTCATGTTGCAAGTGCCTGACTTTTTCCCAACTTCATTAGCCCTTCTCTCAATTTAATAGTGGGCACTGACCGCCACTTGCAGGTAGAACAAATCCTGGCCATCTTGTTAGGCCTAACTCTCACACAGCCTCATGACATCATTACTAATCTTAGGCTTCAAAAGTTCTACTCTGTACCCTATACGACTTTGGGAAATTTTTCCAGTTTGGTTCCAAGACCACACCTCCATATTTATTTCAGATCTCTTACAGGATCCCTGTCCTGCTGCATAAATCTAGTTCTTTTTATTATAACTATCCAATCTCCCAGAGCCTCAAAACTAAGAACCTGGCTTGCTGCTCAAATTTCTAGATTCCAACCTTATCACCCTAACTTCCTCCAGCACTGATAGCCTTTCTTCTGCATTTTTTTCTCATTCAACATTAATTAATATCTTAAGAGCAGAGACTGTTCTAGACACTGGGGATTCTGCAATGAATCAGACAGTGAAGACCTCTCACTTCATGGGGCTTACTTTTTGTAGGTTAGACAGATAATAAATAATTAAAAAAAAAGATGAGGTAGACATAATTGTCGAGATGAAAAGAAAATAATTAAAAAACAGAATAATTGAGAGGAAACTTTATTTTTTCTTTTTCTTTTTATGTAACTTTTGTTTTAAGTTCAGGGGTACATGTGCAAGTTTGTAATATAGGTAAACTTGTGTCATGGGGGTTGTTGTACAGATTATTTCATCACCCAGGTATTTAGCCTAGTATTCATTAGTTATTTTTCTTGATCCTCTCCCTCCTCCCACCCTCACCCTGATAGGCCCCAGTGTGTGTTGTTCCCCTCTGTGTGTCCATGTGTTCTCATCATTTAGCTCCCACTTATAAGTAAGAACATGCAATATTTGGTTTTCTGTTCCTGTGCTACTTTGCTAAGAATAACGGCCTCCAGCTTCATCCATGTCCATACTATGGCTGCATAGTATTCTATGGTATATATGTACCACATTTTCTTTATCCAATCTACCATTGATAGGCATTTAGGTTGATTCCATGTCTTTGCTGTTGTGAACAGTGCTGCAATGAACATATAAGTGCATGTGTCTTTGTGGTAGAATGATTTGGATCAAATGGTGTTTCTGACTTTAGGTCTCTGAAGAATTGCCGCACTGTTTTCCACAATGGTTGAGCTAATGTACACTCCTACCAACAATGCATAAGCATTCCTTATTCTCCACAACCTCACTGACATCTGTCATTTTTTGACTTTTTATAATAGCCATTCTGACTGGTGTGAGATGATATCTCACTGTGGTTTTGTTTTTCATTTCTCTAATGATCAGTGATGTTGAGCTTTTTGTCATATGCTTGTGGCCACATGTATGTCTTTTTTAAAAAAGTGTCTGTTCATGTCCTTTGCCCTCTTTTAACGGAGTTATTTGTTATTTTCTTGTAAATTAGTTTAAGTTCCTTATAGATGCTGGATATTAGACCTTTGTCAGATGCATAGTTTGTAAATATTTTCTTCCATTCTGGGGGTTGTCTGTTTATTCTGTTGGTAGTTTCTTTTGCTGTGCAGAAGATCCTTAGTTTAATTAGATCCTATTTGTCAATCTTTGCTTTGTTGCAACTGCTTTTGGTGTCTTCATCATTAAATTCTTGCCTGTTCCTATGGCCAGAATGGTATTGCTTAGATTGTCTTCCAGAGTTTTTATGGTTTTGTGTTTTACATTTAAGTCTTTAATCCATCTTGAGTTAATTTTTGTATATGGTGTAAGGAAGGGGTCCAGTTTGAATCTTTTGCATATGGCTAGCCAGTTACCCCAGCACTATTAATTGAATATGGAGTCCTTTCCACATTGCTTGTTTTTGTCAGCTTTGTCAAAGATCAGATAGTTGTAGGAGTGCAGCATTACTTCTGGCCTCTCTATTCTGTTCCATTAATGTGTCTGTTTTTGTACCAGTACCATGCTGTTTTGATTACTGAAGCCCTGTACTATAGTTTGAAGTTGGGTAGTGTGATGTATCCAGCTTTGTTCTTTAAATGCCTTGGCTACTTGGGCTTTTTGTGGGTGTTAAGGGAACAGGGGTTCCATATGAATTTTAAAATAATCTTTTCTAGTTCTGTGAAGAATGTCATTGGCTATTTAATAGGAATATCAGTTAATCTATAAATTGCCTTGGGCAGTATAGCCATTTTAACAATAATGATTCTTCCTGTTCATGAGCATGGGATGTTTTCCCATTTGTTTATGTCATCTCTGATTTCCTTGAGGAGTGTTTTGTAGTTCTCATTGTTGAGATCTTTCACCTCCCTGGTTAGCTGTATTCCTGGTATTTTATTCTTTTTGTGGTAATTGTGAATGGGATTATGTTCCTGATTTGGCTCTTGGCTTGACTGTTGTTGGTGTATAGGAATGCTAGTGATTTTTATATATTAATTTTGTATCCTGAGACTTTGCTGAAGTTATTTATTAACTTAAGGAGCTTTGGGGCTAAGACTATGGGGCTTTCCAGATACAGGATCATGTTGTCTGCAAGCAGGGAGAGTTTGAGAGAAAACATTAAATTGATGGTCTGGTAAGGCCCCTCTGAAAAAGAGATGTGTAAATTCAAGAATGATAAGAAAGAACTTAGATATAAAAACATCTGGGAGAAAAATATTCCAGGAAGAGAGAATAGCTAACATAAAGTCTTCAATTTTTAAGGAGAATGTTGTACTTAAAGAATAATATGGGGAAGAAATAGGCCAGTCTAGTAGACATAACAGGGGCAGGCAAAAGAGTCAGAGATGTGGGTGGTGAAAGTATTAGTTTCCTGTGGTTGCCACACCAAATTACCACAAACTTGATGATATAAAACAACAGAAATGTATCCTTCTGCAGTTCTGGAAGCTGGAAGTCTGAAACTGAGATGCTGCCAGGGCTGTACTCCTTTCAAAAGCCCTAGGGGAGAATTCTTCCTTGCTTTTTCCAACTTTGGTGGCTCTAGGTCTTCCTTGGCTTGTGGCTACATGACTCCATTCTCTTTCTTTACCCCCATATGGCCCTTCTTCTCTTCTCCCTGTGTCTCTCCTCTATGTGTCTCTATGAGGACATTTGTCATTGTATTTGGGGTCCACCTGGATAATCCAGGATGATCTAATCTCAAGATCCTCAACTTAATTATGTACACAAAGACTGTTTTTTCCAAATAAGGTCACATCTGGCTTCTGGGGGCTAGTATGTAGATTTTTTGTGTAAAACCATCCAACATACTTCAGAGAGCTAGGCCTTGCAGGCCAGGTAAAGCAATTTCTTTGTATTCTATATGCAATGAAAAACTCATAGAGAATTTTACATTAGAAAATAATATAGTTTGACTTAGACTTGTTTCTTTAAAAGAGACATGGTCTTGCTCTGTTGCCCAAGCTACATTGCGGTAGCATGATCATAGCTTACTACAGCCTCAAACTCCTGGCCTCAGCCTCTTGAGTAGTTGGGATAACAGGCACACACCACCATGCCTGGCTAATTTTTTTAATTTTTAATTTTCGTAGATACCTGGTCTCACCATCTTGTCCAGGCTGTTCTCAAACCCCTGAGGCTCAAGAAATCCTCTTGCCTCAGCCTCCCAATGTGCTAGTTCAGGCATGAGCCACCGTGCCCAGCCTGATTTAGACTTTCAATCTACCATTCTGACCATGTATGAGAACTAATTGAAGGGAGAAGTAGATCAGTGATACATGAGAGAGATGGTTTGATCTTTGGTAGCAGTAGAAATAGAAGTAGAAGATTAAGAATTTGTTATGGAGGTAGAGAGAGTTAAGATTTGCTTAGGGATTACATATGGGGGTGGTGGTGAGAGAAATAAAAAAAAATGCCATCTGCCAACTACCAGTGCAACTACCTAAATGTCATCTGCTTCTGAACTCCCCACTGCCATGCTCCATATGCCTGCAAGAGTATTTGTGTCAAGGGATCACCTCCACCTCCCTAGCTATTCTTAGGCCTTTGAAAATATTATCTTCTCTGTTAGTCTAGTTCTCTTTCTAGTTTTTGTGGCATTCTGTGCCTTCTCTAACTTTTCCCCAAGAGTTTGCCCTGTCCAGTGACAAATTTTGCTTTAAAACAAGGCTATTCTAATTCCCACTCCAATGCAGTTTCCTGAGGCATCCAAACCACAACCAGACAACAGACTCTGAAATGTCAGGGATTTTTTCCATTTTATTTAGATCGAGGTGATTGAAAACTCTTTGAAAACACAAGTAACAAAGATTCAGAGCCCAATTATACAGCAATTCTTATCCCAGTGGCATGCATACACCCAGTACGTAAGCCTCTATGGAACTAGAGTTTCTAGACTGTTTTTCTAGGTCAGATACACAAAAAAATTTGTATCATCAAAATAATATCAATTCTCATAGTTATATCTTTTCAAGAAATTATAATTTCAAGTCAAGTATAATGTTTCTCCCTTGCTAGTACGAAATTCTGATTAAGAACTCAGCCTTAAATTGTTCTGAAGTAGTTCGCGGAAGGTAGAGACAAAAAATGGAAATATGCTACAGTTGTGCTAAAGTTTATAAAGTGAAGCCCCCTTGATGAAGGCCAAATTTTCATATTGAGTAAACCATTATAATAAAATATAGCTGGAAGCCTATACTTTTGGATTCTGGGGAAGAAACAAGGCAACATGAGATCTCTGTCATTATTCTGTGACATTAGGCTATTCCTCTGTGAGTTGTTCCCAGAAGATACTCCAGAAATTCTACAACTATTTAATTCTGGTAAGTGCCTGCCAAGCTTATTTTAAAGTAAACTAAATTTTTCAGAATAATTTCAGCTTCAAAATTTACATTTATCGTGATGGAAGGGATCATGGTGGGATGCAGGACTAGATTGCAGCTCAGACAGAGCAGCATCCAGAGGCTTGCACTGTGAATTTTAGCTCCAGATGGCCTGCAAGAACAAACCGGCAATCCCAAGAGGAACCACAGACCCTCTGAAGGAAATGGACTGCTCCTGCAGGACTCGAGAGACACCCCAAATACTGTGAGTGCCCCATCTGTGGAAGTAGGAAGGGGAGACCCTCCTCTCCAAACGCACACCCCCGCTGGAGAAGCTGAAGGTCTGTTTGCGGGAGAAGTTTCTAACTTTACCTGGAGCTCAGTCAAGTTAGAGAGCCAAGTAAAATATAGGGGCAGAAGAAATAGCAGAAAGGCCTTGGGAGTTCGCTGGGTCCCCAAGCAGCCCATTCCTGCCTGGCACCACGGGGATCCACTGGGAGGGTGGCAGGGGGTAAAACTCCACAGGGAGAAGGAATTCCCTAGATGAACTTTGTTACTATTTGAAGGGGGCGAGAAGCCTCTTGGCCAGAACTCAAGGGAGGGCACAAATTCGGCATGCAGACTTCACAGGCAGGGGAAGAACTAAAGCCATTTTCTTTTGCACCTGGGAGGCAGATAGCCTCCAGCAAGTTTTCAAGTCCCTCTCGCCCTCTGCCTGGAAACAGACTCCGGGCTGTTGTGGGGCACAGTGGGAGTGAGACCGGCCCTTCAGTTTGTGTGGGAGCTGGGTGAGGCCTGTGATTGCCAGCTTTCCCCCACTTAGCTGACAACCTGCATGACTCAGCAGAGGCAGCCATAATCCTCCTAGGTACACAACTCCAGTGACCTGGGAATCTCACCCCCATCCCCCACAGCAGCCACAGCAAGACATGCCCAAGGAGCGTCTGAGCTCAGACACGCCTGGTCCCACCTCTACCTGATGGTCCTTCCCTATCCACCCTCATAGCAGATGACAAAGGGCATATTATATTGGGAGTTGCAGGGCCCTGTCCACTACCTGTCCCTCTCCACACTACCACAGCTGCTGCTTTCTGGAAAGCACCACCTCCTGGCAGGAGGCCAATGAGCACAAAAATAGAGCATTAAACCACCAAAGCTAAGGACCCTCACAGAGTCCATTGAACCCTCTGCTACTTCCAACAGAACAGGTGCTGATATTCATGACTGAGAGACCCATAGACAGTTCACATCACAGGACTTTGTGCAGACAAGCCCCAGTACCAGCCTGGAGCCGAGCAGACTTGCTGGGTGGCTAGACCCAGAAGAAAGACAACAATCACTGCAGTTTGGCTCACAGGAAGCCATGTCCATAGGAAAAGTGGGGAGTACTATATCAAGGGAACACCCCATGGGACAAAAGAATCTGAACAACAGCCTTCAGCCTTAGACCTTCCCTTTGACAGAGCCTATCCAAATGAGAAGGAGCCAGAAAACCAACCCTGGTAATATGACAAAACAAGGCTCTTCAACACCCCCTGAAAATCACACTAGTTCACCAGCAATGGATCCAAACCAGTAAAAATCCCTGATTTACCTGAAAAGGAATTCAGGAGGTTAGTTATTAAGCTAATCAGGGAGGGACCAGAGAAAGGTGAAGCCCAATGCAAGGAAATACAAAAAATGATATTAAGAAGTGAAGGGAGAAATATTCAATGAAATAGATAGCTTAAAAAAAAAAACAATAAAAAATTCAGGAATCTTTGGACACACTTTTAGAAATGAAAAATGCTCTGGAAAGTCTCAGCAATAGAATTGAACAAGTAGAAGAAAGAAATTCAGAGCTTGAAGACAATGTCTTCGAATTAACCCAATCCAACAAAGATAAAGAAAAAAGAATAAGAAAATATGAATAAAACTTCCAAGAAGACTGGGAGTATGTTAAATGAAAAAAACCTAAGAATAATCAGTGTTCCTGAGGAAGAAGAGAATTCTAAAAGCTCAGAAAACATATTTGGGGAAAACTTCCCTGGCCTAGCTAGAGAACTAGACATCCAAATACAAGAAGCACAAAGAACACTTGGGAAATTTATTACAAAAAGATGTTTGCCTAGGCACACTGTCATCAGATTACCCAAAGTTGAGATGAAGGAAAGAATCTTAAGAGCTGTGACACAGAGGCACCAGGTAACCTATAAAGGAAAATCTATCAGATGAACAGCAGATTTCTCAGCATAAACCCTGCAAGCTAGACGGGATTGGGGCCCTATCTTCACCCTTCTCAAACAAAACAATTATCAGCCAAGAATTTTGTATCCAGCAAAACTAAGCATCACATATGAAGGAAAGATACAGTTGTTTTCAGACAAACAAATGCTGAATGAATTCGCCATTACCATTTGCCTATAAAACAAAAATACAAGCTAAAAAGCAAAAAAAAAAAAAAAACAAAAAGCAAAGTACACAGGCAACAAAGAACACAATTAATGCAACAGTACCTCACATTTCAATACTAACATTAAATGTAAATGGCCTAAATGCTCCACTTAAAAGATACAGAACTGCAGAATGGATAAGAACTCACCAACCAACTATCTGCTACCTTCAGGAGACTCACCTAACACATAAAGACTCAAATAAACTTAAAGTAAAGGGGTGGAAAAAGCAAATGAACACCAAAAGTGAGCCAGGGTAGTTATTCCTATAGCAGACAAAACAAACTTTAAAGCAACAGTGGTTAAAAGAGGCAAAGAGGGACATTATGTAATGGTAAAAGGCCTTGTCCCACAGGAAAATATCACAATCCTAAACATATATGCACCTAACACTGGAACTCCCAAATTTATACAACAATTATGAATAAACCTAAGAAATGAGATAGACAGCAACACAATAATAGTAGGAGACTTCAATACACCACTGACAGCACTAGTCAGGTTCTTAAGACAGAAAGTCAACAAACAAACAATGGATTTAAACTATACCTTGGAACAAATGGACTTAAACGAATATACAGAATATTTCATCCAACAACCACAGGATACACATTCTATTTAACAGCACGTGGATCTTTCTCCAAGGTAGACCATATGATAGGCCATAAAATGAGCCTCAATAAATTGAAGAAAATTGAAATTATATCAAGCACTCTCTCAGACCACAGTGGAATAAAACTGGAAATCAACTCCAAAAAGAACCTTTAAAATAGGTGGAAATAAATACATGGAAATTAAATAACCTGCTCCTGAATGGGCACTGTGTCAAAAATGAAATCAAGATGAAAATTAAAAAATTCTTCAAACTGAATGACAATAATGTCACAACCTATCAAAACTCTGGGATACAGCAAAGGCGTTGGTAAGAGGAAAGTTTATGGCCCTAAATGCCCACATCAAAAACTCTGAAAGAGTACAAAGAGACAATCTAAGGTCACACCTCAAGAAACTAGAAAAAGAAGAACAAACAAAACCCAAACCCAACAGAAGGAAGGAAAAACCAAGATGAGAGCAGAACTAAATGAAATTGAAATTAAAAAAATACAAAAGATAAATGAAACAAAACCTGGTTCTTTGAAAAGATACATAAAATTGATAGACCATTATCAAGCTTAACCAAGAAAAGAAGAGAGAAAATCCATATAACCTCACTAAGAAACAAAACAGGAGATATTACAACTGACACCACTGAAATACAAAAGATCATTCAAGGCTACCATGAATACCTTTATGCACATAAATTAGAAAACCCAGAAGAGATGGATAAATTCCTGGAAAAAGACAACCCTCCTAGCTTAAATGAGGAAGAATCAGATACCCTGAACAGACCAATAACAAGCAGTGAGATTGAAATGATAACTAAAATATTACCAACAAAAAAAAGTCCAAGACCAGACGGATTCACAGCAGAATTCTACCAGATGTTCAAAGAAGAATTGATACCAATCCTTTTGACATTATTCCACAAGATAAAGAAAGAACCTTCCCTAACTCATTCTATGAAGCCAGCATCACCCTAATACCAAAACCAGGAAAGGACACAACCAAAAAAGAAAACTACAGACTGATATCTTTCATGAATATAGATGCTAAAATCCTTAACAAAATACTAGCTAACCGAATCCAGCAACGTATCAAAAAGATAATCCACCATGATCAAGTGTGTCTCATACCATAGATGCAGGGATGGTTTAACATACGCACGTCAATAAATGTAATACACCACATAAACAGGATTAAACACAAAAATCACATGATCATCTCAATACATGCAGAAAAAGCATTTGACAAAATCTAGCATTGCTCTATGATTAAAACTTTCAGCAAAATCAGCATACAAGAGACATACCTGAATGTAATAAAAGCCATCTATGACAAACCCACAGCCAACATAATACCGAATGGGGAAAAGTTGAAAGCATTCCCTCTGAATGAACAAGACAAGGATGCCCACTGTCACCACTCCTCTTCAACATAGTACTAGAAGTCCTAGCCAGAGCAATAAGACAAGAGAAAGAAATAAAGGGCATCCAAGTCAGTAAAGAAGAAGTCAAACTGTCACTGTTTGCTGAAGATATGATCATTTACCTTGAAAACACTAAGACTCATCCAGAAAGCTCCTAGAACTGATAAAAGAATTCAGCAAAGTTTCTGGATACAAGATTAATGTACATAAATCAGTAGCTCTTCTATACACCAACAGAAACCAAGCAGAGAATCAAATCAAGAACTCAACCTCTTTTACAATGGCTGCAAAAAAACCACAAAAAACAAAAAACAGAAACAAAAACAAAAACCCAAGCAACCAAACAAACAAAAAAACCCAACAACAACAACACTTAGAATATACCTAACCAAGGAGTCAAAAGACCTCTACAAGGAAAACTACAAAACACTGCTGAAAAAAATCATAGATGACACAAACAAATGGAAACACATCCCATGCTCATGGAAGGGTAGAATGAATATTGTGAAAATGAGTATACTGCCAAGAGCAATCTACAAATTCAACACAATTTCCATCAAAATACCACACAATTTTTTACAGAATTAGAAAAAACAATTCTAAAATTCATATGGAATCAAAAAAGAGCCCGTATAGCCAAAGCAAGACTAAGCAAAAAGAACAAATCTGGAGGCATCACACTACCTGATTTCAAACTTCACTATAAGGCCATAGTCACCAAAACAGAGTGGTACTGGTATGAAAATAGGCACATAGACGAATGCAGCAGAATAGAGAACCCAGAAATAAACCCAGATACAGCCAACTGATCTCTGACAAAGCCGACAAAAACATAAAGTGTGGAAAGGACACCCCTTCAACAAATGGTGCTGGGGTAATTGGCTAGTCACATGTAGGAGAATGAAACTGGATCCTCATCTCTCACCTTATACAAAAATCAACACAAGTTGGATTAAAGACTTAAACCTAAGACCTGAAACTATAAAAATTCTAGAAGACAACATTGGAAAAACCCTTCTAGACATTGGCTTAGGCAAGGATTTCATAACCAAGAACCCCCCAAAAATGCAATAAAAACAAAGATACATAGCTGGGACCTAATTAAACTAAAGAGCTTTTGTACAGCAAAAGGAACAGTCAGCAAAGTAACCAGACAACCCACAGAGTGGGAGAAAATCTTCGCAATCTATACATCTGACAAAGGACTAATATCCAGAATCTACCACAAACTCATACAAATCAGTAAGAAAAAACAAACAATCCCATCAAAAGTGGGCTAAGGACATGAATAGGCAATTCTCAAAAGAAGACACACAAATGGCCAGTAAATATATGAAAAAATGCTCAACATCATTAATGATCAGGGAAATGCAAATCAAAACCATAATGCAAAAGCACCTTTCTCCTGCAAGAATGGCCATAATCAAAAAGTCAAAAAACAGTAGATGCTGGCATGGATGCGGTGAACAGGGAACACTTCTACACTGCTGGAGGGAACGTGAACTAGTACAGCCACTATGGAAAACAGTGTGGAGATTCCTTAAAAAAACTAAAGGTAAGAAACTACCATTTGTTCCAGCAATTCCACTACTGGGTAGGATTACCCAGAGGAAAAGAAGTCATTATTTGAAAAAGATACTTGCACACACATGTTTACAGCAGCACAATTCACAATTGCAAAATCATGAAACCAACCCAAATGCCCATCAATCAATGAGTGGATAAAGAAACTGTGGTATAGATCTATGAGGGAATACTATGCAGCCATAAAAAGGAATGAATTAACAGTATTTGCAGTGACCTGGATGAGATTGGAGACTATTATTCTAAGTGAAGTAACTCAGGAATGTGAAACCATACATCGTATGTTCTCACTGATATGTGGGAGCTAAGCTATGAGGACACAAAGGCATAAAAATGATACAGTGGACTTTGGGGACTTGGGGGGAAGAGTGGAAGCGGGGATGAAGGATAAAAGACTACAAATATGGTGCAGTGTATACTGCTCAAGTGATGGGTGCAGCAAAATCTCACAAATACCACTAAAAAATTTACTCATGTAACCAAATACAACCTGTACCCCAATAACTTAAGGAAAAAATTTTAAAAATTACATTTATCTGTGACTATAGTTTCAGTTTAATAATTATGGTATGCAATTGGGTCTTTAGTCCCTAAGAACAAAACAAATTTTAGGATTTGATATTCTAAAACCAAAAGTTTATTTTAAAATAGCATTATTAGAGCTTAAAACATACTTATCAAAAAAAAAAAAAATAGATTCCCTGGCATGTGAAATTTGGCAAGGATGAAGAGAGGGGCTGTTGCTCTCTGGCTCTGGATTAGAACATTTGTACATCAGAAAGATTTTTAATGTGATCCATCAAAGTGCCCACTCTTTAGGAATACAGGTATCCAACCTAATATCCATTAGCAAATGAAAACATGTTTCAGATGTTTAAACTGACATTTGATTCTAGTCTTATGTTGGGTTTGTTTAAATGAATGCTACTGTCTTCATCATGAAACTCATATCAAATCAATTGTGGATTAATAGTAGGAAAAGAGTATCAGAAAAACAAAACAAAATGAAATGAAACTTCCTGGTTGATTAAAATTCATTTCTTTATTCACTCATGATTTTTTTCTTATCTTAAAATAATCTAAATCTTATTGAGCATGATAGGATTAAGTGGGAATTGGACAGATAGTGGAGTTGGGGATGGATTGTAATTATACTACACTGCGAAAAAGCAAAGTGCACATTTCTACGTATAGGGAAAATCCTCTTGCAGATGAAAATTTGGTCGTTGTTTTTTTTGTACTCCAAAGAGTCTAAAATATTTCTCCCATTGTTAACTGCTTGGAGAATCCTTATCAGGACAGAAGTTTCAGATGGCGAAGATAATTTTCAAATTGGAGTTAGAGAAGCCATTCCCAGGTTAATGAGCACAGAGCAGCAGGCATTTTGAAGGGTTTATTTGGAGAAAGGAAACGTCTGCAGAAATCAAGTGATTAAGATGTGATACTCAAAGCGAACTCTCAGCGATCTCATTAGCAGAGACTAAGAATAGTCTAAAAATGCAATAAGAGCCCTTATACAAGGTCACAAACATCCCAGTGCAGGCCAGCTGTGTGGGACCCACTGAAGAGAAACATGAGGAAACTGATTATACCAGATTAAGAAATCTTCCTTAGAAAAGGTGAGAGATTCTTCCCACTTACTAAGGGAGGACGAGCTAGAAATATATGAAAATCCCATTGCATAGTATTCATAGTTCTCCAGATGTGCTTATGCATATTAAAATACATATACTTTTATTCCATAATGTAGTTTTAATCATTCTAAATTAATTTGAATCACTTCCGTACAAATACTACTTTCTCACACATCTTTCTTCACAAATTTCCCTAAAAAGTCCTCCTACTCAACTGCAGACTGTCACTTTTACCTCCTTTCCCTGAAATTACATTATATGTTTATTTGTTTCCTTTTAAAACTATATGCCTGCTATCAAAATAATGGAAGCTTCATGGGTGGAAGGATACTATATAACTTGTTCATTATCTCATTTCTCAAGCCTAGAATAATATTTGGCATGTAAGTTTCTAAAACATTTATTGAATAAAAGAATAAAGAACCCTGTTTAATTTTCATAAAATCATTGTTGAGACTACACCTCTACGTGTTATTACATGAATAACAGAATGTTGAAATGAAAGTTTTGGCCAGGGAACCAAGACACAGTGGATAGTACACTGGAAAGGTGGTATGCATTTACAATGGAGGTGGTCATCCGTGGTTGTTCATAACCTCTTAACACAACAAAGGCAAAAATGGACCAGAGAAGAGTTGCGAAGATTTTTTTTTTTTTGGACAGAGTTTTACTATGAGTCCCACTTTTAAGTGAAGTTGTGGGTGGTATTACATCCTGACTCTCAATTTTGTAGAGAGTAGCTTCAAGATGATTATTAGATTTTTGAGCAACTGTCAGTGGGTTGTGACTTACTATCTTCAACTCCAAGGGGAAGGAGAATTGCAGAAGGATCCGGTACCTCATCACAAGACTAAAGATGGTTAAATATAAGGGACTCAGAAGGCTGGTGTCTAAATTTCATCTGAAAAATTTCGAGGGCATGAGAACAGATGTTGATCATATATACAAAGGTGTCAACAAGAAAGCCATGAAGATATATAAGATCCTGTACAAGAGCATTGCCTGCAGAAGTCAACAGCTTACTAGAGGGAATCTGAAAGTATTTCCAAATGCTTAGGAACTGAAAAAGGAGTAAGTGATGTGTCAGCAATATGCCATCACTCTCATCAAGGCAAATTTATAGACGAGCGAAAGGGCAGGGGTGGGTCATGAAAGAACACATTAAAATCATCATTAAAAAGTCAGTTTCAAATGTCTGCCAGATCCAAAGATTATGTTGTCAACTGAAGATGGTAACTATCAAGTGCAAGCTATTCTCCTTACTTCTCACCTATTTTCCCTAACCATGATGCAGCAAAGGAGAGTCAGAACTAGGGGTAGGCAGATAGAAGAAGAGGAGGAATAGAAGACTATGTGACAACATAGAGAAGAAACCAGCCACGTCCATGCCTCAGTCTGCGACTTCAGGCTTCCCACCCAAAATTGAGCCTGTGTTGGGAAAGGCAGGAATCTTAATATCAGTTAAAAGTCTTGAATATCCTATAACCAGATTATTTAAATTATTGACCATGGGGCTTCATGTTACCTAAATATTTCCAGAAAGTTTTCATCTAGGAACAGAAGTAAAACTTGGTTTATGAATAAGTTTTAGTAGGAGAAAAAAATGAAATCTCTTTACAATTACATCCCAGAATTTGCCAAGTTCAATATCACGACTAAAATAATTTTACAGAGTTTTTAATTGCAGGTAAGAACCCCTCTCAAATATTAACCTTATTTCTCTCTGGCCATGCTTTACATTTTGTTAATGATTGATAATGAGGAGGCAGTTAAATAAAATGTTTACTTGAGACTAGGCCTCCCAAATGTATACACAAATTATTTTTTAAATCAGCAACAAATAATTCTCAATGTGTAAATATTTTTAAAGTATCTGGTATTTCTAAAATAGCTCATGAAAGAAAAATACATTTAGGAGTTATTTGAAAATTAGAGGAGGCCGGGCACGGTCGCTCATGCCTGTGATCCTAGCACTTTGGGAGGCCGAGGCGGGCAGACTGCCTGAGCTCAGGAGTTCAAGACCAGCCTGGGCAACACGGTAAGACCCCGTCTCTACTAAAATACAAAAACTTAGCCTGGCATGGCAGTGTTGTGCCTGTAGTCCTAACTACTCGGGAGGCTAGGGCAGGAGAATTGCTTGAACCCGGGAGGTGGAGGTTGCACAGTGAGCCGAGATCGCGCCACTGCACTTCAGCCTGGGCAACAGAGCGAGACTCCTTCTCCGAAAAAAATTAAAAAGAAAATTAGAGGCAATAAGTTCTGTCATATAATCTAGGAAAGTGTATAAATCTGTGCTGAACAATTTACAGAATCTAGGAGAATGAAACACAGTGGTTGTGTCTGTGTGTGTAGTTGAGAAGGGGTAACGTCTTAGTCCATTTGTGCTGCTATAACACAATTCCTGAGTCTGGGTAATGCATAAATAATAAAATTTATTTCTCACAGTCCTGGAGGCTGAGAAGTCAAAGATCAAGTTACCAGCAAGTTCAGTGTCTAGTGAGGGCCCAGTCTCTTTAAATATTCATGAATAAGTACAAGCAGGCAGTGGGTTGTATTCATAGTTCCAACGATTCAACTTCTTACTCATTATCATCATCTTTTCATTGTCTGGAAAACTGGTTCCAGAAGAAAAAAAAAAAAAGACTGACCGTTATAACAAGCCAGACATCATTTCCGGTGCCAGCTTTGTTGTCTCTCCACAGGGACTTAGTCTGCTTGACCTTCATTAGCTCATAGGCATCACAGCTGCAAACGCTCAAACATTTTGGCATTTTTCTTTGGTGCAAAGGTTAAATAAAAATGGATTTTAATAATTTTGACACAGAATTAGAGAAAGAGATATAGATGAAACAGATAAATAAATAAATTGCTTCCTCTAGACCCTGGGTAAGAGAACAAGCAAGCACCTGTTTGCCTCTCACCCAGGGTGAGAGAAGAAGAAAGCACCTCTCTTGATGACTGAGATTTCTGCCATGACTCTGGAATTTGGGAGATCACTCTGCAACTTTTCTTTCACTTGTATAGTACTCTCCACCTCCCCGTTAGATGGTAAGGTACATAAAGAAATCTGCAAATGTTTCGTCGCTTTGTAGCTCAGTGTTCATCCGCTTGTTTCCTTGTTTTGTTGTTGTGTTTATTAGGGCCAAGTACTATAACAAACTTTACGTAAGGTATGTGATTTGTATCCTCCCAGATGCTAAGGAAATGGTAACTTAATAAGGTTTAATAACTCAGTCAAAGTTAGCATAGTTGATAAGTAGCAAAGCCAAGTTTCTTATTCAGGCTGTCCAAATACAACAATGAGGCACTTTAACTTGTACTTCTAAGCACCTGTTTAGTGATCATTTTCATGAGATAGGATTTAACTCTCAACTCTCAGCCTTTCTGGATGGAATGTTCTCATTTGCCATCTCACCTCATCTATAAGCTTCATTATCCCTCTAACCACCTCTACTACATATCTCTTTTGTCTCTTATCTTCTATTATAGTTTTGTTAAAGGGCAGCAACCATATTGCACCTAGTCTTGATTAAGCAGGCATGCCATTTGTCACAGAGCCAAGCAAGAAAATTCCTCATAGTGGTCCCCTTAAGCCATTGCTTGGAACGTTTCCCAGAAAGCACAGTGCATCCTATCCATACCCTATCCACCATACCGTGTGTAAGAACATTAATATCCATTAAAAGTTTCTGATAAATTTTCAATCAAATTTTTAATACAGCCCAGAGAGAAAGATAGTTTCACATTATCTTGAAGGTTTGATCTTAGTAAAGATTGCCTGTCTTTCAGAGGGTTTAGAACAAAGTATGCTGCATTTCAAAAGAAGTCACCACCTCCTTCAATGTCTGAATGACAGTAAGGTAATAAAACTCTCCCTTACAGGAATCACCGGGTTGCAAAATATCTAGACTATGAAGACATTTGCTGGCAAGGTATCAAGTGTGTAAATGGAACCATGGCTGATTTTAATTTTATGATGGAATGTGAAACTAAAAATAATTATTTATATATATTTGTGTATATGTATGAGTATGTATATATTCTGAATTGCAATATATTGTTATGTATGAATTGGACTATAAGCTGCTTCTAGAGTCAGTCTATCCTATGAATAGAAATTGATTATAATAACATAATAGCAAGTATGGTACCTGGTTAGAAATACCACACGAAAGAGAATTCCCAAGCTAAGTACAGTAGGCAGAATTCTAAGATGACCCTGAGCCACACCCTTATATAATCCTCCCACTGAGTATGAATAGGATTTATAACTTGCTTTTGCAAAAGCAAGTTATAAGGATTTATAACTTGCTTTTTTTTGCTTTTGCAAAAAATTGCAAAAGTGGTGGGATTATAATTTGTTTCTATAACATAAACAAATATAAACTCCCTTGATTGGGTTGCATTACACAGCAAAGATGATGGGAAGTTGCACATATGATAAAATAATTTTTATATAAGACTATGTTAGCACATTGTAGCAAGAGATTCTCCTGCTGGCTTTGAAAAACTTAGCTTCCATGTGGTTGTGAGAGGGTCATGTGTCAAAGAACTCTGAGTATCCTCTAAGAGCTGAGTATGTGGCCTGACAGCCAGCAAAAAAGCTAGGACCTCAGTCTTAAGCCATCAGGAACTGAATTCTGCCAATAATTACTTAAGCTTAACACAAGAATGTCCAGTAGATGCTGTTAAGAAGCTCATCAATGGATGAATGAATTTTTTAAATGTGGGAAACATACACAATGGAATATTATCCAGCCATAAAAGAGAATATCGGCTCACTGCAACCTCCACCTCACGGGTTCAAGTGATTCTCCTGCCTCAGCTTCCAAGAATAGCTGGGATTACAGGCATGCACCACTATGCCCGGCTAATTTTTTGTATTTTTAGTAGAGATGGGGCTTCACTATGTTGGCCAGGCTGGTCTCCTGACCTCAGGTGATCTGCCCACCTCAGCCTCCCAATGTGCAGGGATTACAGGTGTGAGCCACCGTGCCCAGCCAAATCCTGTCATTTGCAGCAACATAAATGGAACTGGATATCACTGTGACTAACACTTAGACAGCACTAGAAAGACAAATATTCCATGTTCTTTCTAATATGTAAGAGATAAGAAAGTTAATCTCATGGAGGTAGAGAGTAGAATGATAGATACCAGAGGCAGGGAAGGGGGTCGGGGACGATTCTATATTTCAAAATAGCTAAAAGAGAAGATGTGAAATGTTCCCAATACAAATAAGTGAAAAATGTTTGAGGTGATGGAAATCCTAAATACCCTGATTTGATCATTACACCATGTATGCATGTATCAATATATCATATGCACCCCATAAATTGGTACAATTATTATGTATCAATAGAGTTTATTTAAACAGAAGTTTAAAATTGACATCCATCTGGTAACTAAGCTCAGGACATGTTACCAAATTGAAGTATAATTGCTTTTATCCAGGAATCTTAAAAATGTAAAAATAAAATCTCAGGATAATTATACAGATTGGTATTTATTGAAGAACCATGGGTCATATGAATATATCCTCAAGGAACTTAATTATCTTGACAAAAGCATGATAGCATATGAAACAAATATGACATACAACTAGGTGTATAATTGTATTTGTGTGTATTTATCTTGCTTTGTGTTTGCATATGTCTGCACGTGTCTCTATTTTTATAAGTGTGTATACACATATATGTATATATATTCGCATGTCTGTATCTATATGTATCCGTTTCTATGTCTCTGTGTATCTGAGAATTTGTGTGTGTGCCTTTGTATTTGTTTTTATATGTGTATGTGTGTTGTGGGAGTTTGTGTGTGCATCTATATGAGTGGCAGAGTGTGTGTATGTGTCTATGTTTATGCGTCTGTTTGTCTGTGTGTACAAAAGGCTTGAAGGAGATGAAGAAAACACAAATTATCCTCTTCAAAGGCTTTTATAAAAATTAGTGAGGAGTAGAGAGAAAAACACAATACAGAAAAACAACGACAAAAAATCCACTGATTTTGGACTCTGCAATCTGGTTTTAGTTCTAATTCTGTGATATGTTAGTTCTGTGACTTTGGTAACCTGCTTCAGTTCTGAGTCTTAATTTTCCCTATATAAAATGAATTAGATCTTAAGAACATACCGGGCATGGTGGCTCACGCCTGTAATCCCAGCTCTTTGGGAGGCCAAGGTGGGTGGATCACCTGAGGTCGGGAGTTCAAGACCAGCCTGACCAACATGGAGGAACCCTGTCTCTACTAAAAATACAAAATTAGCCGGGCGTGGTGGTGCATGCTTGTAATCCCAGCTACTGGGGAGGCTGAGGCAGGAGAATTGCTTGAAACTGGGAGGCGGAGGTTGCAGTGAGCCAAGATGGTGCCATTGCACTCCAGCCCGGGCAAGGAGAGCGAAACTCTGTCTCAAAAAAACAAACAAACAAAAAACAAAAAGAAAACTATCTCACTGCTAGTAGAAGTGTAAACTGGTACAACCATTTTAGAAAACTGTTTGGCTCTCTTTAATAAAGTTGATCATATTCATGCCATATGACCCAGCAATTGCTGTCGTAGGTATCTATAACCAGTACAAATGTGTACATATGTTCCAAATGTACATTAGAATGTTTATAGCAGCACTATGTAGTCCTAACAGACTAAACTGAAATGAGAACTAGCCTAAAACTAGAAGTGTCCCAATCCCCATTCAATGAACAGATACACTGTGGTATTTGCACCAATGGAATACCATATAGCTGGAGAATGAGCATTCTGTAGCCTTACAAAAATACGAATGAATTTCACAAATATAGACAAAAGAAGCTTGATACAAAGAAATCTCATATAATTTATATATAGTATATGAACCAGCAAACATGATCTTAATCTACACTCTTTGATGTCAGGATAGTAGTTATCCTTGAGGAGCGGGCAGTTACTGGAAGAGAGTCTAAGGAGAAGAGGCATTGTCAGTTTCCTACTGTGTGTGCTGGTTAACTGTGTTCAATTTGTGAAATGTCATGAACACATATGCTTCTGATATGTGTGATTTTTTATTAGAATATTTCACATAAATATAATTTTTTAAAGCCTCACATAGTATCAGGCAACTATGATGATCGAATAGGAGAATGCATTTAGACATGATTTAAACAAGCTCATCACTGCAGCTCTTTAAAAAAAAATAGTTGTCAAACTCTGGGTAATGACTACTAGTTGGTCATGTAATCAATTTATAGATTGTAACCTGTATTAAATAAAATGAAAAAGACTAGAACAGAAAATATTGGAGTGCATTATATACTGTATACTGTTTTGTGATATAAACATCCATATATATGTTTATATGGGTAGAGATGTAACATGTACATTTTATTCTGAGTCACAGTTAAAAGGAGTCAAAATTATTGCTTTAAGGGGCCCATGATATAAGTTCATAAAGCCTGTGTCTAAATTATGACTCCCCGTGTCTAGATTATGACCAGCATTGATTCTACATTAGTTAAGTGAAAGGCATTTTAATAAGGGAATCCCGGAGTACAATTAAAGCACTTCCAATGTATATTATGAGTAATCCTGACCGTTGGCCTTATCACTCCTGGACATTTGCCAGAAGACCTAGGACTTTCCACACTGTGTAGCCTAGAATTCTGCAAATTGCTTCCACCATACAAAAAGCTTAGGTTGTCCAAAATTGGAGTTTCTTGAAAATACATAGCCTCTGTTTCGACCACTTTTCTTGGTAACCTTGTAGCAGATGTAGTGAGTGGTAGCTCTGTGTACCAGTGAAGATGCAGAATGGAAAATATTGTTCATTTGCATAGTCTCAAAATAATGGGATGAAGATAGTAATTAATAGCTATATTTATACCCCTTGATTTAATTAACTCCAGCTAAGATGTTTGTAATCATGTGATTTTATGTTTGGGTAAATGTGTCAACGTGAACATTAGTCACTAATACAAGGCAGCAAGAAAAAAATTAAAAAGCCACCAGCAGAAGGCAGGCCTCGGTAGTTCTCAGTTTTCCACTTTGGGATTTTTTATCCATAGAAATCACTAGTGATGCTATTCTATGACAGAAAGTTCTCTGGAGGGTGGAGAGAAGAGTGGTATAGAATAAATACAGGGGTGAGCAAAGGGTAGGGTGAGGCTTAAGCCTAGAGCTCTTTTGATATTGAGATTAAGGCAGGGTAGAAAAAGGAAGTCTCTTGTGGTAGGGCCATTTCACTTCAAACCTACTCACCCTTATAAGGGAATAGACTAGAGTCATCCCAGCACTTTGGGAGGCCGAGGCAGGTGGATCACCTGAGGTCATGAGTTCAAGACCAGCCTGACCAACATGGAGAAACCCTGCCTCTACTAAAAATACAAAATTAGCCAGTCGTGGTGGCACAAGCCTGTAATCCCAGCTACCGGGGAGGCTGAGGCAGGAGAATTGCTTGAACCTGGGAGGCGGAGGTTGCAGTGAGCCTAGATGGCGCCACTGCACTCCAGCCTGGCAACAGAGCAAAACTCTGTCTCAAACAAACAAACAAAAAACAAAAAAACAAAACAAAACAAAAAAACTATCCCACTGCTAGTAGGAAAGGAGATGTGAAATAAGGAAACCAAAGAGGGAACATAATTGGAGATAAAACTGTTTAACTAAGGGGCAGAGGTTATTCTGAGGATCTTGGCAAAATCAAATGGGGACCAAAAGATGGTGGAAGAAGGTCTGTTCAGAGGGACAAAATGTTCAGGTTTATTATAAGACTAACATTTTTGAGAAGCCATTTAGATTGGATTCAGGTGGCAAAGCACATAAAGAAAAGGGGTTCTGGGTAGGGTTGCACACTGACCAAAATAGTAGACATGGTTTTGAGCTGAGTAAAGAAGGGTTCGTTCAGATTTGCTCTAGTTTGCGTCCAAACCTCCTGATGCTTCAAGTCAATGAATCCACTTCACATCTGTGTGGATTGGTCACATTAAATAGAAGAAAAGAAACCTGAAAAATCTCCACAGTATGCAAGAGGCTTCCTTTGAGCTGACTGAAGCTAGCAGCACAGAGCACAAAGGCTCCCTGCCTTTATCTCAGCCACATGGTCCTGCTTTATGAAGGGTCAGATGGGGAAGAGAAACCTCACATCAGAGTTAATGATCACAGTCCTGCTTTGCTAATTAATGCCACTGACTCATGTGGTGTGAAAACACAACTTAAAAGGCTCCACACCAGCTGAGAAATCTGGGCTGGCAGAGGAAAGTAACAGGAAATCCTTTACATAACTAAGAATCAAGGAGAATCTTTCATTTTCTGTTAATCATATCTTTTAAATCTATAATTTCTGAGTAGGGCAGGTAGGCAAAAATCAAATCAGTGCTGCCCCAACACACTGGTTCCATTTTAATGAAAAGCCATCGCCTTCATGTTTCCTCTTATAAGGGAATAGACTAGAGTCACCCCATGTCCCAGTCTTTACTTTAGTTTTTTTTTCCTTCTAATTATTGCATAAGCAATTCTAACCCTTGAGTTTTATAAAATAACTTTGCAACGGAGCATTTTAACTCATGATTGCTTTAAAAACGAATGAGTATGCACTCTCATTGACATATAAATTCATAAACATACATGCATGTATATGAGGTTCTAAGAATATATATTATTGAGACTTATTTTTCTGGGATACGGTAAGCTTTAAATAGGAACCTAGTATTCTGAAGGAGTTCATGGATCCTGTTAACTAGTTCATTTGCCAGTCACAGTGTGGACAATTCTTTCTATAGAAAATAATTTCAACATTATTCTATCAGGGTGAAATTCTGGACCAGGGAAGGATGCAAGACACTCATACATGTGTATATATTATTTTAAAACTCAGCCCAGGGGTTCAATTCTTATAGCATGTGAAATTTTTGAGGTATAAATATTTTTGGGGTAGAGAGTGAGTCAATCTCAGGGTATCAAGATAACTTGAGACAAATTTATGTAATTACTTAGCAAGTTTTCACCATAACACATTTTATATTTTAGTAGGTATATAAATATGAGTATAGTACAACTATATATATGCACAGATTTGCAATATAATACTTTGATTTCATAACACCTGCTCAAAATGCTATGTTTATTGTTGGGAAAGACAAGGCACATGCCTGTCAGTTGAGATTTCATTTCCATTTTCATTGTAAAGGGTTGTAAGCTATGATCTATTCTAGATCTTACTCCATAACCCTCGTACCAAGTCTAGTATTCCACTTAAAAAAAGAGAGATAGAAAATGCAACATCACTTTTACAATTCACAATTCACACGATTTCTTATTAGCACTAATTATATATAAGGGTAGGTCATTTTGTCTGAAGCCAACCCCTAACATTAATTATTGCTGTATTACTAGAATGCTAATTTGGGAAGTTTTCAATTGGTCTTCCTTTTGCAAACACAAGATAAAGCTAGGCTTTTAGTTACGAGACAGGTTTAATTTCTTTTGAGTAAAGGGAACAATGGTAGTACTAGCTTGGCTTTACAATAATATATAGTGATCCCAGATAAAGCACAAATCTGTGATGTTATTAAAACACAGAGTTCTATTTTAACTGTGGGTGATAATAGTACTAGAATGTTACAAAAAGGGAGTGTGCATGTGAGTGGGATTCTGCATATGAATATTTGTGTATATTTTTCTATAACCCAATACACACATATGAATGGTTAAAAGAACATAAAAGCATTTTACCTAATGACTCATCACCCACTCCCTGCTTTGTTCTAGTGTAGTCAGAGTTGCACATTAACTTGGATGCTAACTATGCTCCCGTGGTAAACAAAAAGGCAGAGAACCTTGTGCATCCAAGGAGGTCCTGTAAAGGGCTCACTCGGTGAAAACATCTGCAGTGCCTATTTTAAATCAAGGCCTCCAAATTACATCTTTGGTGAAAGTAAGATACTCACTGCACAGTGAATGAAGGGGCATGTGCCTCACAGTGACGCTACATTAAGAGAGAAAGAGAGAAAAAAAAAATCTAGAAATAACCAGAGAGGGAAGAAAAAGATAATAAAAGAGAGTGAGATGGAGAATGGAAGACATTCACAAATATCTCTAGGGTACAACAAAAAGAATGCTAATGTCTTGCTCAAATCTTGAGAAATCCAAGGATTGTAAAATCTTTTTGTAGCCAAAACATTAGGAATCCAAGGTAGGAGAAAGGAGACATTCTAACTTCATCAGGTGAGAGTTTACCTGTGAATTTACACTTCTGCCTTTAGAAATCTCAGGCTTACCTCATCCTTCCAACACATGAGCAAGAAATAAAGTGAGAATATTTCTCTTTACAATGCATTAGATCTAATCCAAAGAGAATGCCTGTGATTACAAACTTTTGGGAGACTACACGTTAAAGTAGCACTTCTCAGAGCCTTTTACACGCTAATAAATTCTACCAGTGTTTAAGATGGGAAGGCATATAATATGTAGCGAGGAAGTAGATCAAGGCTCCCTTTATCCAGAGCATTTACAGTGAGGGAAATTATGCTTCCTAAAACCAATTTTGGAAAAGGCTGAATTAGACTTTTCAGTTAAGAAACGTAACAATACCTTATATTAAAAAGAACAGACCATTATACAAGCTAAAAAATGGAAAAAAATGAAAAACTCATAAAAAAAGGTATTTCAAGGATTGCTTTAGGAATTTTTTATTGTTTGGTAGTTTCATAATGATTTTAACAATCAAACTTGGTAAGAAACTTATTTCTACAGTCTTGATATTTGTTCTTTCTGCATGTGGTTATCTTTTACTGAATGCATAAAATAAAATCACGCTTCAGCATTAAACTTGGCTTTACAAGATTAAGATATTAGAATGTGGAAAAGGAGGCAAAAATTTATGAACAAAAACCCTAGCAATAACTGGAACCATCTAGAAACCCCTGTAGATAGGGCAGGATTGTTTGCTAAATATACTAATTAAATGAGGCAATGTATTAAAATGGTTTACATTGTGTTTGGCACCCAATCAACACCCAATATTAGTAAAAATTTTCATGTGTTATTGATATTCTTATGTCATATACCACATAAAAAAGGGGTCTTTATAAGCATAGAAATGATCTCCTAGAAATAAAGAGAGGAAACTAACAGGTAATCTCCTAGGCTGATTCATACACTATATGCGGCAGAAGGAGCTTGTGCTTAATCTAATTTAATCCGACCCCCCCAACCGATCTAATTTAATCTAATCAGCTGAAGTAGGTTGCTATTCGTTATAGTATAATTTAGCCAAGGTTACCAGTGGTCCTACACAGACTTTGTCAAAATTATCTTTCCGTACCACCATGCAGCAAAACGTTGGCCTGAAAGTCTGTTTCCCCACATGATCATTCCTCTTATGAATATATTAGTGCTTTATAAAAGCGACTTGGGAGGCTGAAGCAGGAGAATTGAACTCAGGAGGTGGAGGTTGCCGTAAGCTGAGATTGCACCACTGCACTCCGGCCTGGGCAACAGAGTTAGACTCCGTCTCCAAACAAAAAAAAGGACTGAAAGGAGTCCGTTTGCTTTCTTCTGCTTTTTAGCCATGTGAGGACATAATGTTTCTTCACTTTTTTGCTCTTCTGTCGTTTGAGAAAACCTAGATGGCACCATCTATTGCCATCTATCAGGAATAGTCCTCACCAGACACAACTTGATCTTGGAATTCCCAGTCTCCAGAACTGTGAGAACATTCTGTTATTTATAAATCACCCAGTCTTAGGTTATTTTGTTATAGTAGCACAAATGGACTAAGACATACACTATTACTATTCTAGTCTAAATCACTCTCCTAGATGACTTTAGCAGTATTCCTACTGACTAATCCTACACCATTCCTCTCCCTTCACTATCCTGTCCCCACAGAACAGCCAGAATGGTTTTTGAAAAGTCAATCAGATCACTATCATTCCCTCGATTAACTCCCTCTAGCATTTCCTATTCCACTTCCTAAGTGGATTTATGAAATAAATCCAAATTCTTTTTTTTTTAAGATTATAATTTTTATGCTCCCTTTTTACCCTCCCATTCTTCCCATGCTCCTCAGTTTGTTTCTGTTTCATGGCATTTGCTGTCTGTCATTGTTCCTTCTGCTTGAAACTCCCTTTCCTTCAACTGACATATACCTGTCTCCTAGTTATTCAAGTCTTAGGTGCAACAGTTTCTGAAGTAAAGGGGCAGAGGGACCTTCTATCCATGACTGTGTCACCTCATTTAATGGCACCATCACTCTCGATTCATAATGCTCTGTGTTATAGGTTGAAATGTGTGCCCTCAAAAAGATGTATTAAAGCCTTAAGTCCCAGGGCCTCCAAATTTAGCCTTACTGTAATAGAATTTTTATAGAAGTAATCAGGTTAAAATTTGGTTATTAGGGTAGGCTGTAATCAAAAATGACTGATCTCCTTACAACAAGTGGAAATATGTACACAAAGACAGACATGCACAGAGGAAGATCAAGTGAAGACAAGTAAAGAGACGGCAGTCATGAGACTGAAGCAGTACATCTACAAGCCAAGATAATTGGCCAAGGACTGCCATCAAATGCCAGAAGCTAGAAGAAAACAAGGAAGAATTCTTCACTAGAGTGGTCAGAGAGTACACGGCTCTGATGGCACCTTGACTTTGAATTTGTACCCTCCAGAACTGTGAGGCAATACATTTTTGTTGTTTAAACTCACCTAGTTTGTGGCACTTGGCAATGACAGCCCTAAGAAATTAATGCTATGTTTTCATTTTTGTTGCAGCACTTGTCACAGCTGCAACCACTTCTTTGGTTTACTGCTATAGATCACTTTCCACACTAGAATGCAAACTCCCCAAGAGGCAAAGACCTGCATGTCTGGTTGTATGCCATGTGACCTGGATTTGGGAGAATGCTAGACAGAGAAATTGATGCTCAAAATATATACAATAAATGAATGAATGATAGAATTGAATGGGAGCATTCATGAAGCTTAAAAGATAATGAACACAAATACCTCCAACTATTGCCCTTTGTTTTGTTGGTTTACTTCATTGCTTGTACTTGTCTATGCATCCTTTAAGCCCAATCCTTCTGAAGAGTACAATTCAATCTGAGACTACCTATAAAGGTCTATACATTATTATGGAAACAAAATCTCAGTGGATCTTACTTAGTGCCTAGATGATCATACCTGTAAAACGTCAGTGCCATCCCCTAGGAAGAAGGGGGAAGCAAAGGATTCTTTGAATAAGAAACATAGTAAAAATAGTACATAGTTTCTGTCTCTGGCTCTATACAGGTGTCATGATTTGAGTCAGTTATAGATGATGAGAAACTTGATTGCAGGTATTTCTAAACCAAGGTATTCAATGAATACTTATGTTGGTAAACTGTGTTACCTCTAAGTTGGGAAGCAACAAGGTATTGTAGTTAAAAAAGTATAGGTTCTGGAGGCAGAGACCCCTAAAGTTCAGGCCCGTTTAACTTACCAATGTGCAAACTTGAACCAACCTTGTATAAGTTACCTTCTTTTCTAAGCTCCAGCTTTTTCAAAAGCCCCACCTAATTGAGGAACAACGGTATACACACTAAAATGTTGATGAGAAAATTAAGAGATAATGCATGCATGGTGTTAGCACGCTGCATGAACCACATTAAAAATGAAATACATGCTAGATAATATCGTATTTATTATTGGAAGAGTCTGCTGGTCACAGAATTGATGGACAAGACTGATGCCTTGTGTTATGCGAAGAATACACATCTCAAATCAATTATTTGACTCACACACAAAGTAAACCTATTTTTACTTCTGCTGGCCTTGACCACTGAACTAGTCTTCACTGATTTAAATTAAATTGAAGATCAGGAGTAACTTTAACAAGTAGAAGCCAAATCCCCACAGCTGTTATCAATCCCTATATAACTGATTAGAATCCTAAAGGAACATAAGAGATTCCTTCTTAAAATTATCACTCAAGACTGTTAGAAGGCTATGAACATCTACCATTGATCATGACTCTAAAGGCAGTATTGTCTCAGTACCGTGTGTGCACCTGTGCATATGTGTGCGTTATTATTTTTCTGCATCGAACCATATTTCTGAAGTAGCCATAGAAACAGTCCCATTTGTGCTTTTATGTTTGTTTGGTTTTTTAACATTTGTTTCCTACACTATAACCATAGCAGCAGTGTGGAGTTTGACCACAAGACAATACAGTTCATGAAGACAAAGAAAAAAGTGCAATAGTAGTAACAATAACCAATGGATTTTTTATTGCATTATGGTTGATACAGTATTTTCCTACTAATTATTTCACTTGCTTCTCCCAGGGGACAGGTCAAATAGTTATAAGTAATATTTCTATTTTGAAGTGGAGGGAACTGCGGTCACATGCTTTGATTAAAGTCACAGAGCTATTCTGTGATAGAAATGGTGCTAAACCCACAAATTTCAACTACAAATCTCCTTTCCTTCCATTATAACTTGCAGCAGTAATTATGTAAAAAGCGAGAAACAGATTGATGATCTAGAATATAGTTAGAAAGAGAGACTACATGAATACATCTAGCTCTACCATTACCATGTAAGATAATATCAGCTTATCAGCTTTCAAAACATTGCATCTTGTCTATGTTGAGTACTAACATCACGAAGCAGTGGTTGCATAATAGATTTGATTGTGTTAACCTTACCTGATGCTGTTGGCTCATAAAAGAAAGGACTTAATGTCACTGACTAAATTCATCACTAAAAGAGAATTCACAAAGTTGTATAGATAACCTAAATAATTTCAAAATTTGTAGCAAAACTGGTAAAAATGCGTGAGCATTTGCTTTGCTGCCTTAACTCAACATCCAGGCTTCCCAGTGAACAAGGAAAACCAGACCGGCTTGTCTCTGGGAAATCCTCCGCTTAGTCAACAGCTGAATTCTTCTACTCAAACAAAACACTGCCCATATCCAGAGTGACAGCCCACAAAGAGAAAAAATTCAAGATCAGAACCTCATCTTTCAAAGAATGCTGGAGACTGTCTCATCAAGGCAGACTCAGACTTGAAACCAACCTCTTCCTCTGCAGAGTGATGGCAGTTCCTCATGATCTGGACACAAAGATTTTGAGCCTTTAATGTAGCTTCAGACACACTATATGCAAAGGCTGGCTTGTCCTTGATGAGTACCAGGAAATTAAATAATTCCAAAGCACCACAGCCTCCCTTAAAGCCTCCAGAACACAAGAATTCTTCCCTATTGATCCACAGTCTGCAGCATTTCAGCCCTTGATTATATACCGTCTTCTGCTCTCCAATGGTTTGACATGTTCCCATCTTGTTTCCTGAACATATTCCTAAGTCATTTAATTCTTTTTTTTAACTTCCTTAACACTTCACCCTGCCACCACTATAAACGGGATTTCAGCTACTGTGTCCCATGCCCTGAACTAAATTCTGGAGCTATATAGAGGCTGAGTAAGAAGCCTTGCCTTTCAGAGTCTCCCAAGTTCATAATGGAGATACTCCCATTTATAGCTCACATCAAGATGATACAAGAGCTATTCCAGCAATATAAATATATTATTTAGAGAGTTTAGGGAGAATGAGATGACATAATAATTGATATAATATTCTCTGGTGGAGGAGGATGGGGGTGATACAAGGTTATTTCAGTAAGGAGAATATGACCAAATTCACCTAGTTTCAAAGAGGTTTGGCATGTTTTGAGTATGTCAAGTGGTATAATAAGACTGCGCATAAAGAATGAAGATAGAACGCGGCATTATGTGGCAAAGGGACCTGAATACTTTTGCATTGTCCTTCTTGCTATAATGTAAGCTTATTGAGTGCAGGGATGATGTGTTTTGTTCACTGTTTATTCTCAGCATCAAGAACAGTGTCTGTCACATGGTGGCAATTAAGTAAACATTTAAAAAATAACGAAATGAATGAGATTAAGAGATAAAGGGAGCCATGCATGATATTAAAGCAAGGGATAAAATAATTAGATTGGTGTTTTAAAAGACAACTTTATGGATTCTTTTTTTTCCACTCTTTTTTTTTTTTTTTTAAGAGACAGGGTCTCACTCTGTTGCCCAGGCATCAGTGCAGTTGGTACAAACATAGCTCGTTGCAGACTTGAAGTCCTTGCCTCAAGCAATCCTCCAGCCTCAGCCTCTTCAGTAGCTGGTACTGCAGGTGCACATGACCACACTCAGCTAATTATTTTACTTTTTGTAGAAATTGGATTTTGTTATATTGCCCAGGCTGGTCTTGAACTTCTGGCCTCAAGTGATCCTCCTGTCTCAGCCTCCCAAATTGCTGAGATTATAGGTGTGAGCCAATACACCTGGTCCTCTTCCACTTTTAAAATTGCTCTTTTTATAACTTATAATTTATTATTTAATGTAAATCTCCCAGTTTCTACTTTTGTTCTGCCAGAGTCTTTTTTTTTTTTTTTTTTTTTGAGATGGAGTCTCGCTCTGTCGCCCAGGCTGGAGTGCAGTGGTGTGATCTCTGCAAGCTCCGCCTCCCAGGTTCACACCATTCTCCTGCCTCAGCCTCCCAACACCATTCTCCTGCCTCAGCCTCCCAAGTAGCGGGGACTACAGGCGCCCGCCACCATGTCCAGCTAATTTTTTGTTTCTTTAGAGGAGACGGGGTTTCATTGTGTTAGCCAGGATGGTCTTGATCTCCTGACTTCGTAATCTGCCCACCTCGGCCTCCCAAAGTGCTGGGATTACAGGCATGAGCCACCGTGCCCGGGCTGCCAGAGTCTTTTTTCAACAAAATGATGAGGATACTTACTAGAAATATAATTTAAATCACAACCATCTCTGGTCAAAACCCACCACTTACTTAAGGTAAAAGCATGAATACATCTAGCTGTACCATTCTAGTCCTTCTCATGGCCTGAAGAGCTTATATCATTGCCCATTATCTCTAGGTCTCCTACCTTCTTTATCTTTAGCTCCGACTTCTCTCCCTCACTATATACCTTCCAGTCACACTGTACTCCTTGGCATTCCATGAATGAACCAGGCATGCTCCCACCTATTCTCTTTGCTTGGAAGCATCTTCCCCCAGATAGCTATAGGGCTCACAGTCTCGTCTCTTTCTGACCTTTGCTCAAATGTCACTTTCCCATAAAACCTTCCCTGAGCAATTCGTTCAAAATTTTATACTTTATCTTTCTCCATTGCCATTTTTCTCTTATGCAGTTCCATTTTTCCGTTGTTGTTATTATACAGCACTTGTCTCATTGAACCATATTTTATAATTTCCTTGCATTTTCTGGTTATTGCTTCTTTTCTATTTTCCCTCACTTAACAAGAACAGATCTTTGTCTGTATTTTTTCCCCACTGATGTACCCCGAGTGTTTATGGCTAGAATTGAGCCTGGCACATAGTAGTTGCTTTATAGATGATTGCTAAATTGCATTGAGTGGCATCAATTTTCATAAAGACTTTGGTTTTGACTAACATCAAACAGTAGGAGGTGCATATGGCTTGCTTAGCATGCAAAGTAGTTGTTAGAAATGAATGCTATAATCAATGCACAGATCCTGACAAGAGTATAGGGCTCTATCAGCTTTTATGTTAGTATTTTATTACTGATGTCAATAGCATGAGTCAAATAGGCCGCCACGACATCTTATTGCCATCTGGAGGCTGTACTACCCGATGGCAAGAAGGGAACAAAGAGAAATAAAGCGAGCTTCCAAAGAGTCTGGAAAGGCATATCCGTTCACTTGGTAAACATATTTGAGCAAATAGATAGGTCATGGCAATTCTGCCTACCTAAACTGGGTATTTATAGAAGGTAAATGAACGAGCAGTTCTGAAGTGATGAGCAGAAGTGAAGAGGCAACAGGGAGGCAGCCTAAAAGAAAGACTAGAAACAAACAACTGTATACAACCCCAGTTAATGTAGTGAAACTGCAGCTGCTGGGATCCAGCAGGAGCAGACCTATCCATTTGCTGCTTAAGCTTAGGGTAAGCTAGAAAGTTAGGGAATACATCTGGGATTAATTATTTCATTCTTAAACTGCTTTATGGCCTTCTGAAATATCAAAATGTCCCATGTGTTTTACATTTGTCCCCCTATATCCACTCTCTCCCTTCTCCACCCTGTTAAGACAAGGGCTTGTACTACAAAATCAATGGGTTCCTTTGCTCTCTAGATATAGATCAGCTTCATCCCATGGCAGACACTGGCAGGAGACTAGAGGGAGGGAGATGTGGACAGGCAGGCCGTATATTCCTCTGGTTTCCTCGCTGTGGGGTTGGTTGGGCTCTCTCTGATCTTCAAAGAAATATCATTGCTCTTAAAGTGACCTTCTCTGTGTTACTCTCTCCTGGCTACCAGTAGCCTTTCCCTTCCTCTGTCTCTTCAGGCCTAGGACTAGTGATAGCTAGCTCTTCTCTTCCTAGCCCCAGGTTACTTACTGTTTTGACTCTTGTGGTTCACCAAACCACTCACACTTGAAAAGCTATCCCTTATTTTTTTTTCTTAACTTTCTTTCTTTTTTTTTTTTTAGATACGGTCTTGCTCAGTTGTACAGGCTGGATTGCAGTGGGGCAATCTCGGTTCACTGCAACCTTGAGCTCCTGGGCTCCAGGGACCTTCTTGCCTCGTCCTCCCAAGTAGCTAGAACTGCGGGTGTGTGCCACCATGATTGGATTTTTTTTAAAACTATTCTAGAGACAGGGTCTCTCTATGGTGCCTAGACTGATCTCCAACTCCTGAGCTCAAGGATCCTCCCATCTCAACTTCTCAAATTGCTGGGATTATAGGTGCAAGCCACCACACCCAGCTGGTCATCCCTTTCTTAAACCTTATTTAAATTATACTAATTTGTGTGTGCTAGATGTTAAGTTTCTTGTTGAGTCCTCACTGAAACACAGAAATTCTTTGAGGCTTAGTTTTCACATCAGGAAAGTAAAAATAATAATGTCCACCACCGGAGGCCACAGCGACCATTAAATTGAACATCTCTTGTGCAAAGTAGCTGACCTAGAAGAAAGCATTCAAACAATGAGTTTCTTGGCCTCCTTTGCTTATAACATCACAGTGCACAGTAAGCACCTGCTTACTTTGTCTTCTTCTCCCCGGAGACTGAGTGCTTCTCAAGGGCAGGGCCATAGGCACAGAGATCAGGACCCCCGCATCCAGCACGTGCCTTGGAAATGTCAGTTAAATGATCACTGAGAGAATAAGAGGCACCAGCAGCGGAGAAAAGACAGGACTCCAAAACCAGACATCATTGGGTAAAACTAAAGCATACAACCTCATAATTTGAAGATGAACATGTTATAATTAGATATAGGAGCTGAATGGAAAAGACTACTTTGGTCTTTTTAGTCGCATCTGGTTAGTAACAATGTTGAGAATCTGTCTCCTTTCTGTCTCTCCCCATGTACGTGTGTGTGTGTCCAAACATATGTGATAGATAGGTAGAAAAATGAATAGATAGATGTATCACACTTTCTCTGTCAGTTGTTATTTGACACATTTTCCTCAGGAATGACACCTTGGAAATGAACTGTAACTAAATAAATAGATAATTACACCAATACCTTGTCAATTACCTAAAATCTGAAATAAAACTACTACAGAAGTAATTAGATTAAAGTAAAAAGATCATTTGCATTTTAAAACTCAATATTTAAAACCAGGCTTTTTATTTATGGTCCAAATAACATAATTATCAAATCAGCTAAGAAATCATTTCTTAAAGAATGTTTTTACAACTAGAACTCATGTATCGTAACACAAAGCTATTCACATCTGCACATATGTGAAAAAGGAAAGAAAGCTTTTTAATTTGAAAATAAGATGATGAATAATTTACTATGGTGATGAGTTCAGCAATTTATACCTTTAGTTTAGAAGCAGACATGCATATTTTGCAAAACCCCTCCTACCCTATCCTCTTCCTCTTGAGATCCCCTGGTCTGTAGTAAGAAGGGGCAGACGTTGAGTGGGAGGGATCCTGGCAGCATTACCAGAAGTATGTTCTACGTGACATGAACCAAATCAATAGCACTGAGGGACTACATAAAAGAGCACATTTCTGGGATGATTTTTTTGTTGGAATATGGCTAGCCCCCAATTTTATCACATCTCTCTGTTGGTTTCCTCTTTACTCTTACTTAGAACAGCTCTTCTTTTGTGTCTGTTACTGCACCTTTGCTTCCCAACAAGTGGACACTTGGCAGCAGTGGTTTTTCCTACAGAATTTCCTGAGTGTAAGGAGATGTTTGCATGCATGTGTGTGTGCATGTGTGTATGCATTCGCTATAGCATATAAGTAAATAGTCATGTACACCTTTGGAGAAAATGATATGCTATATTTTTTGTTTTGTATTTATCATAAAGTCCCCACAGGCTTGAATTTTATAGCTTTAACAGCTGAAGAGTTGAACTGGATCAGAGATAGGCAGCATTTTTCTCTGATAATCACCACAAACAGCATAGAAAGTCCAGTGATGGCATCTAATAGAGACAGTAGTCTTGTTCTGTCACCAAGGTAGGCACAATCTGGAAGGTAATACCCTTTGAGTAATAGTTTAAGATGTTTTGTCGTAATGGTCAGCCTGCAAAACATTCTCTCTGTGCCTCAAACTAAGACGCTTCATTCCCATCACCACAATTCTCTCCAGGAAGGATGAAAATAAGATCTTTCTTCCCTTCCTCCCTCCCATCCTCCTTCCTCCATCTCTCCATGTCTCCCTCCTTTCTCTTCTTCCTCTCCCATTTGAGTACCATGCATAACACCACATATATTTGTTACAAGAAAGAAGATGTGGGAACAAATAAAGAAAGGGAAGAAAAAAAGAGACTGAGGTTTTTTTCCTCCTTTGTCTCCAGTGAGTATGAAGTTAAAACTGTATTTTACATACACTTCACTCAAAGATAAGGCATACTGCAAATAATTCTGTGATTTAGCCTTTTCTGGACTCACCTCTACCCCTCAGGCACATGGGGTACACTACAAATTAGGAAAACAAGGTCAGTGTAGCATTCACATTCAATATAGGCAATGTGCTCTGTGATGGACTTTTCATATAGATGGCAATCATGAAAGTCCTAGAGAGCTATGTAAAACAGGACTTGCTATTTTGGTACACACTGTCTGAGAACTGAGCTAGTTCAGCTTCGTTTGACAGCAACAGAGCAAGATAATGTGGGTAATTGAATAGTTAGCAAATCCATTTCTGGTCCATTCTTACCCAACCATGAGGAGAGAGCTTAATAGGGAGTTAGATGAGAAAGCCAGGGTGGCACTTAAATGAACAATAGAAAAGAGAGACAAGGGAAATGAAGCTTTGCCCATCAGGGCCAGAGCTGGTCACCCAAGCACAGCTTACCCCGGGACTCAGAGTCTGCTCTTCCCTTTGGGTGGCCTCCTATGGCCAATCCCCTTCCCTCTCACATCTCCAAGTGGTGGACACAAAATGAGAGTGATTCAAATATTTATTAATGTGAGGAAATGTAATTATCAGGAAATTTCATTCCTTGATGCTCTCCCTCTCTCTCTTATTAAGAAAGCTAACTGATTCAGAATGAGGTAAACCCAAATGTTCAAATGTATTTCTGCCTATTAATTTGAAAGCACTTAAAATATACTTTGTAAAGTAATAAGTAAAAAGTATTAATAACAACAATAATAATTAAAGTTTATTAAACACTTTCTGCTAAGCACATTACATGCCCAGTCTTATTTAATTTTATCCTTATAACACTATTATGAGATGTGTATTACATCCACCTTCCCTCACTGTGTCTTTCTCTCCTCCCCACTGCCTCAACCATCCTGGCCTAAACTCCCAGATATAAACCTCACATACCACCCTTGCTTAGCACCAAAGGAAACAAACAAGTATAACTTCTGGATTCTTCAGGGTACACATAAACATAAAAAAAGAGTTACTGTATAAAATTTCTGCATCTCTTTATTATCTCAGCATAAGGCTTAGTGCCTTACTTAATTATTTTATGAACTAAATGCCACAGAATAAGTAATTTTCCAAAAACTTCTTATTTTAGAATTGTATGCAGCTCCCAAAAAGTATAAAAATAATTCTAATTGCATGCTAAATGTTCAACGGCAATATTTAAAGAAAAAAGATACACAGCCACATTTACAATATGATACAGATACAGAAATGCACACATGAATACACACAAAAACCTACAAATACACAATTCTCACAATGAAAACATCCCAAATGTCAAATGCATGGAGCTCTAGGTTGACAGGTAATTTGTTCATTTATGTGTTTTTCAGCTTTATCTGTCTTTGTATTTTCAGTTTCCTCCAATTGTATTTGTAGCAAACATATACTGAACTCTTATCATGCATTATTTTAAGATCATTACACGTGTTAACTAATTTAGTTTTCATAATAACGGGAAGAGTTAAGTACTATTATCACTCTCATTTTATGGTTTAAAAAAATGGGGCATAGTGAGGTTAGGAAGCTTGCTAAGCTAGTAGATGGCACAGCAGATATGTGAATCCAGCTGGTTTGGCTTCATTACCTGAGCTATTAACCACTACATATGCTACTGCCTATAAGAATGTAGCTTTATAATTACCAAAAAATAAAGAGATTTTTTAAAAAAATGTACCTTGCAAATTTGGTAACATCCAGGAAAATGTAAGAATGCACATACTGTAGTGAGGGAAGAATGAATTTAATCAAGGCATTTTTTTTTCTCTTTAAAAGTCATCCATTCATTCGATTGCAATGGCTATCAGATAAGCTTCGGGCCACTGAAAGGCAAATTGGACATTAATTTCTTTCATTTGAGTGCTTTTTCCTTTGCAACTACCAATAATGAAATTACCACAGAGTCCCTGTTTGGGGGAAAAAATAACTCAAACGTTTGTTGTTGTTTTCTTTTTTCACATCTCTAGAAACAGACCAAATAGCTGAGCTTACAGATTGCAATGCTCTTCCTGTAACAGTCACCTCACAGAACCTGCTGCCAAAGAGGTGAGAAGACTAGAATCAATCATCAGGAGGCTGACCACTGTTCCGGTGTGTTCTTTCAAGACTTTCAGTTCTACATTGCAGTTTATGGACTGGAAAGTGGCTTCTATAACATGATCAAGCTAGGATAATGATCTCATTATAAAACCAATCAGAAACTCTGTGCAGCTTTTTTTGTTCATTGAAAAGGTTGAGCTAACAAGAGGAAAAAGAAACATGCTGTTTGAAGTGCTTGCATTTTGAAAACGTGAATCTCAGTAAAGGCCAACTTTACATGGTATACCTCCTCAGTCCTTACCCTCTGCCTTACTATCCCTAGCCTGGGGCTAGATCTTAGGCCTTGTGGTTATGCTAGAGGTTGGCTAGTACTCTAAAGGGAGGCTGAATTGAGGATATTAGCAGTACAAGTCAAGGTCCTTGAGAGGGGTCAAGAGTTGAGTGTCAGAGGGTCCTGAAAAAGACAATAATATAAATCATTAACAGAAGACAGAGCTTAGAGTTAAGAATAGAACTGAAACTGAATCACAGCTAGAGCACATCAGTAAAAAGTAAGGAGAAGCAGCAGCAAAAATCAGATGTTAAGCTGGTTGCTTAGCTATGTTTGTGCTATTTGAGTGACGGTACATCTCAATTTCCCTGGGACAGTTCTGGTTTATGACTGTTGTCCACTCAAAGGTGTTCTGAATTGAAAGAGGAATTACATGGGCACAGCAGAAATTGCTGATATGTGTATGTAGAGTATTCAAATTGGCTCATGGGATCAAGAGGGAAGCTGAAGCCCATGTTAGTGGAAATGACTGAGGGGATCTTTAGGAAGAATAATATTAAATATTGAGATTTCAAATAAGTCTCCTTCTAATACAGGGGGCCAGTAAAATCCTTACCACAAATTGTCTCTTTTGAGCGGATTAGAGGGATGAAAATAGAATAAAAAAGGGTTTGTGGTCAATATTTGGATTGATAATAGAAGAAAACAAGGGAATAATCACAGAGAAACCAGGCAAGAATAAGGAAATACCAACAAGTTAGAAATATGGAGCCAGGAGACTTGTAGAAATGAAAACTTCACAAGCATCTGTGGCAGTCTTGGGGAGGTCATTGAATTTCTAACAGTACTCCGAGTGGCGAAGTCTATGAAATCAAATCTCAGTGTTAAGAAAGAAGTCAATCTCGGCTGCTGTCAGAATTTCACTAAAAAATCCACATGCGTCACTTACACCCATTTCTTCACTATCTCGAAAGAAGAGAGGTGAGAATGGCAGATAACTGCATCTCTGGAGGGAGGGAATGCAATCTCACACCCAAGAATCTTGAATTAGAATAAAGAGACTGTCCACCTTCTTTTTAAGAAAGAGTCAATTATCCCCATTTTCCACCTCTTAGGACAGCTTGTGCTCACAGGCTGCCTCCTTTCTGCTGCGCTTCCTGCTACAAATCCCTATTTATCCCAGGAGAGATTGTTTCACACGATAACATTTAAATAAGGTGTGCAAAGTGAGTTTTAAACAAGTTTCATGACAGGTGTAAAACCTTACAAGGGAAACCATCAGTAAGAATCTGTTATCAGCTAACACCTTGGTTGACAGCCAGCTGAGTACAGCAATGGGACACAGTGTGAACACTTTTAGGAGGGGCAGAGTGATATGTTGAAATGGTTAAGCTAACTGCACTTAGCTTTTGGGATGTTTCCATTTTACCTATTGTGTATATACATGTGCTTGTGTGTATTCATTTATAATAACTCTTCTTCAACATCACCCTTTTCTCAAGCAAGCATGGGCCACCTTGACCGTACCTACCCCAAAGACAGAATTACAGGGCTGAAAACCAGGATTTTCAGCCTCCAGGGCTTAATAGAAATTGTAGGCAGCTGTCAACAAGCCTTGATTCAAGAGCCCAAGAAACTCCTCCATTACCACCCCACCCCCAACCACAACCTTTCCCATACAGGGACTGACGCTGCACCATTTGGCCCTTCCTAACATGCTACTATCTCTAGGAGGAGTTGCCACTTATAATTTAGTTAGGCATCTGAAAAGGTGTAATGAAGGAAATTTAGTGAGAAGCATGAGAAGCATGAGAATGGGAACTAAGCTTTGTCAAGCGCCTCCAAAGTGCCAGGCACTGTGCTAGAATTTTTAAATATTTTATATTAAAATAATCATCAATATGTGGCCTATAGTTTCTATAATCCCCATTTTTCAGACAAAGAAAGAGCACGAGAGGGGTGAAGAAACTTGCTCAAGGTAACATAGTTATAAAGTAATGGAGATTAAGTTGGATACCTGAGGTCTTGCATGAGGATGGGAGGAGGAACAGCAGGAGAAGCACTGAGTCCCTGGACGTCTCAGAAAGATGCAACGTCCAGGACCCTGGAATGTTCTTCCCCTGTCCCTCCCCCTTCCCGTGGTTGCTCATTGTCTTCTTTCAGTTCCTTATTGTCCTCACAGGAGCCTTCTCCATCCTCCCAATGCCAAGCAGTATCACTTTCCCCTGTTGTCTCCAATTACCATAGAATCCAATTTACCTCTCCTTAGTACTTCCTGCAATCTGTATTTTGCTTGCTTATTTGTTTATAAGAGAGCTTCTAGGAAGACGGCACCTTGATTGTTTCTTGTTCACTATTCTAGACTCTGGTTCTACCTACAGGAGATGCTCAGCAATAATCTATTGAGTGATTTAATGGGGGAATGAATACATGAATAAATAAACTATCAAAGGCACAAAACAGGGAGTCTACAATGTGGTAGGACTGACTTACCCTGTATCATAATTTTAGTTAATGCTTTTCCCATTTTTCTGAGTGTCTGGGAATTTCTCCTGACTCTCCTGTCTCCCAAATTTAAGCTTTTTATTTTTCCCAGCAAGGATGCCAGGAAGAAGACCGAGACAGATACCCTGGATGGGCAAAAAATAGGACATGACTAAGATGTTCTTCATTCCTCCTCCTCTCTCCTTCCCAGACCAAATCTCTCTGAATTGGATATTGTTGGGGCTGTGAAAAACAAAGCACAAAGCTTTTTCTTACAGTCTCTAGTGCAGCTGGAGGGCTTAGAAACTGGAAAGCCTGTTCTGCATGGTCACACGGATGTATGACGCCTAGTCTATGAGTCTACATCACCTTTATGTCTTCCTCTTCAAAGCCATAGATTACGCAATCTTTGCTCGGCCAGTAGCACAATGACACTAGGCTGTCGGGCTCAGCATAAGTTTACACTAGATCTCTTCGAGTCTGCACAATAAAAGCACATCACTGCCAGGGGAAGGTAGGCTTCCTGAAAGCCTGCCTCTCTCTGACATTTCTGCAGTTACCGGCTCAATAAGGAAGAGATGCTGATGGATGGATTTGGTTTCCCCCTTTAAGCAAATCCTCTCACCCCTGTGCACCCTACCACTTGATCTCTCTGTGTGGCTGGGGCCCCTCTGTCAGGAAGCATTTTGTGCAGGATGCCCTCGGTGGCTTGAGAGTGGCAGGGCTGTGCTGGGGGATGGCAGCAACTGCTGCCACTGACACATTTCAGTCAGGCCATAGCAGGCCTCTGCCAAGCAGGAGAACCAACAAAGGAGCCGCGGCGACTGCCTGGGGCTCAAATCGGATCATCTCTCCCTGCCTGGGAAAAAATAAAATAGAATAAATTTCAACCACTCAGCAGTGGGGGTGGTGGGGGAAGCCTAAGGAAGCCTGAACCCTGACTTCTCTCTTTGCTTTGATAGCTGGCTTCATGCCAAATGCAAAATTACATCTGAACTCTTAACACTGCTCGGGAGCAGCAGAGGCACACTCAGCTGAAGATGAGAATACTTCAAGGTGAAATGCCTTTCGGGAGAAAATTTTCTTTCTTTTTTTTTTTTTTGAGCTGCTGAATCAGTGTTTTTCATAAAAATTTTGGATTGCTGCATTTCTATTGGCTTTGCTCTGTGTGTAAATGTTTGGATTGACAGCTCTCAGAAGGCCTGTTGCAATTCCTTATCAGATAGGGAAAATGGGAACGCTGTCTACCTCCCCTTCTCTGCCCACAGAGGTGCCTCTGATCTTCTCTTGAAAAGGAGCAGCCCAGTTTCAAGCACCACACGATATTGGCACCACTGAGAAAGACCCTGAAGATTAACCAGCCCAGCCATCTGTGGTATACACGCAAGGGCAAAGAGAAGGAAAGGGACTCTGGCAAGTTAGATGTTCTGATCATTTTTCAACTTCCTTTGCCCTCCCAGCAATACACTGCCTCCTTTCTGGAGTAAAATCAGTTCCTCCATCACTAGGTTGGGTAGAGGATTCCAAATGACTTTCATAGATGAGGAGCTTTTACAATCAATACCCTGTAGAGAACAGATGCAACAGACACTCTCACTCCAGAAATCAGCCGTTAGAGGAGAAAAATGCATGGAAGGAGGAAAAGAGAAAGGTGTGTGGGGGTCGGGGAAAGAGAAGGAGAGAGATCCTCTGCTAGCCAGCCAGAAGTAAAAGGGGGTTAGCGGAAGGACAGAGAATATTCAGGGATATTAATTTAAGGGAATTATGTTTAAAGATCTACTGTTTAAGGCCCAGTATAAAATAACTAATTAGATGACTATTTTAAAGTGAAGAATACTGAAGGAAGATAGAAAAACTCTCACCTGAAGCATTAAGAAGACAGTTTTATCAGTAGCAAAATAATGAAGGTGAACTACCAGCCGAAATCAAATGATATTGTTTCTTCAACTGAACCTTGAATTATTTTTCTAAATGCAAAGGTCTTGGTGCCAAGAGCAAAGTGAAATTCTGACTTCCTTTTTGGTCCTACAACCTTAAATTGTGTTTGCAAAATATTTATTCTATTCATCTCTCACATTTCAGTGAATTTCCTTAAACATATGACTACAGAGGACTCATGTGAACACAATATATTTGGCATCAAGTAATGAAATTTTTAGTAAAAATCAGGATGAATGTTTGTTCACAGAGCTCCTATTATCAAAAATACAAAAAGAAATGCAAACTGTTATTATTGAGTTTAAAGGTATTTTACTGTATTGAGTTTGCATCATTTTTCTACCTTGCATGTTTCTACTCATGCATACTTTCATTGTTATCATTTTTATGGTTTCAAAAGGTTTGAACAAAAAGATTTATATCAGAGCAGGGTTTGCTCTGTTCAAAACTGGTGCAGAAGGCAGCAAGGTTCCTTTCTCATGCTCTATAAACCAGGGGGCTACTAACTCCGAATAGGGGGAAAATATTATACAAACACACACACACATGCACACACACATACATCTACATCCAATGCCAAATACAAATTATGGTCCTGATTCCTGGAAAGAGGCTTTAAAGTAGACCTTGATGACATGAAATGAAAAGGATGCAGAAACAGTTGACATAAAAGCTTTCTTTGTGCACACCTATGCAAGTCTTTGATATTCTATTGATTAATAACTTCTTTAAGGAATAAATTTTGGCATTAAATTACCTCAAACAGTCATGGAGGCTTTCATTCAATCTCTTAAGTGTTCTAGCATTAGGGAAAATTTATTATGTAATGGGCAAACACGATTGTGTGTCAACAAAACCAGTCTGTCTGCTGTTTGCCTTTTGGATCTGGGCCAGGCCTTTATTCATACGCTTGGGCTCTAAGATTTAGGTCACCCACCTGAAACTCTAATTTAACGTCATGGTCTTATTTCTTTCTGTTTCTGCTGTGATCTAGTAAATATTTTAAAAATGAGATTTCTTTGTTTCTTTTCCTTTATTTCCCCTTTTAATAGAATCTGCTAGGTTCTTTTTAATGTTTTTTAAAAGCTGTTTCTCAATCATTCTTTTTAAAATTGTTATTACAAATTGGATTTTAAACAACCTCGTTCTATAAATCCTGGTTCTTTACCTCCTAGGGTAAACCATTGTGTTGTGTTTTGGCCTTACATAGATTCCCTAGGACAAAAAAATATAACCTATTTGCTTTGGTTTTATAGTTAGGAAGACCTGGGTTCATACAGCTATTCCGTGGGCCTCAGTTTCTTCAACTGTAGAAAAGCAGCATCATGATCCCTTCTTCGAACCCTTCTATAAAAAGAAGTGAGGTGATAGAAACATAATTAGCAACGGGCTTGGCACTTCACATAGTAGCTACTTGACTTGAAGTCGATTTAAATAACAACCAGAAGAGACACTGGCTAAAAGATCAAACCATAACATAAAAAGAGATGATGAATGTAGTACTTAAGTTTTATTTTACTTAAATAAGGCCTCTATGTGATCATTCGAATATATGTGCCAATTTGAGGGCAGTTATCTTTGGAGGAGGATAAGACTCTGAGAATGAGCATGACGGAAATAGTTTTGACAAGAAAATACAACTTTTAAGGATAACATTGAGCAATGTAGGTTAACTTTTTAAACATACATGCTATCTAAAATGCACCATGTTGTCAATATTATTTATAACAACTAGCCTTTGTTCTACCTGGGAACTGCCTATAGTTACTCAATACAAACTTTTCATAATCACCCACAGAATCACAGCAAATGAGGTTTCTAAAGAGCAGACTATTATAAACAGAAACTTCATATCCAGCAACATTGAAGCAAAGCCAAAGACTCACCTGCTTTTTCTGTTAAAGTGAAAAAAAGCTGCAGTTTTCAGCAGGCTATAAAACCCCATGAGGATGGCAGAGAAGATGCAATAAGAAAATAAGAACTAAACTGAGATTTTGATGAAAATGGGAGAATCTAGAGGCGAGTGAATTTAAGAACTCTGAACCAAGCCAGGCCTTCTTTCTGCTCCATCCAAATACTTTAGATATAGAACTATAATTTGCAACATTGGCTGATCATTAGAAATCTTTTTGGGAGGTTACAGATAAAATAAAATTCTTAGGGTGCCAATGTTGGAGGTGGGGCAAAGAGAATACTGGATGGATTTTTAAAAGCTCCTCCAGAAGATTCTCAGGTTCTGCCAGACTTGGGAACCACTGGCCGAAGGACAAATTATGTCCTCATGCCATCACCAATCAAATCTACCATGCGGTTCCTCTGGCACACAGCTGCACTGCTGAATTCTAGATATGTTTTGATTGGACACAGATGCATTTAATTAGCAGTTTGTGTCATCAATTAGAACATGAACTCGAAAAGTCACCGTCTTGCTTAGATATGCTTTGAACACGAATTTTAATATGTGACAATTCCTGAAGAAATGGGGCTGGGGGGGATTTTAATGAAGTCATTAAAACATAAAATGATTTTACCTGAGGATGCAATCTAGAAAGTAAGGATTTCTTGAATAAGCAAATAGTTATACTCATGTGTCTAGCCTGAGTCAGAGAATCTGGGTGCTACAGAATAAGAAAAAAAGTGATGACAATGATAGAAAATTGGATTTTTATATCATTTTTCTCAACGCATTTTCAAAAGAACCTCCCACCTCCCACCTTCAATTTCCCTGAGGGGAAAGCTTACAGCAAAGGGAGCTTGGGATATTTGCAGATTCAAGAGGTCTTTCATTTGGTCAAAATGTGTTGATTTAGTTTTTTGATCTAGTCAGGGAAAAGGCAGCTACTATTGCTACTACTATTGAATATATTACTTGAGTACTTACTTAGCATTATGCCGAGCACCTCGCACACAACACATCAATCAACCCAGTATTTAATTTTACAAATGAGGAAACAGGAGCTCAGGAAAATGGCCCCATGTGATGGGAACCAAAATCTGAACCTAGGTTAATGTGACTCCAAGGCCAGCTGCTTGACCACCTCTCATAAACAGCACCACCAACACTAAGAATAAAAAAGACCCAGGTTTGAATGACTTCACCAAGGAATTACTTTCCTGTTTCATTTTCTCAAATTGTATTCTACTTTCAAAATACTGTAGATGTTTCACCTTCTCCAGTCCACACTCTAAGCACACATTTATCCTGCACTCTAAACATGCAAATAATATAACTTCTTTGTGCCTCAGTGTTTTTGTTTTAAAGGAAATGTGTTAAATTTCTTGCATGATTGTGGCAATTCCCATTCCTGTCATGTCCCAGCATTACTAATTGAGTGCAGTGTTCTTCCCAGGTGACTTGGATGCAGCCAAAAATCCTCACTGTAACTCATATAATTACATCTTATCAATCAGAGTTGGCATTAAGGATGAAACCCATTTGTCATTCAGAGTTTACATATTCTCTAAAGTTTTTAATAATTCTTGGTCTAAAATTCCATAACTGGCTATACGCAGAGGCTCTTGCCTGTCATCCCAGCACTTCAGGAGGCTGAGGCAGAAGGATCACCTGAGCCCAGGAGTTTAAGACCAGCCTGGGCAACATAGTGAGACCTCATCTCTACTAAAAATGAAAAATTAGCCAGCCATAGTGGCATGCACCTGTAGTCCCAGCTACTCAGGAGGCTGAGGCAAAAGAATCGCTTGAGCCCAAGAGGTCAAAGCTACAGTGATCCATGATCACCCCACTGCACTCCACCCTGGGTGACAGAGTGAGACCTTGTCTCAAATAAATAAATAAATAAAAGTCTATAATTGTTATATATATATGTGAACTAGTTCATATTTGAATATGAGTTATGATAACATTATATAGGCACTTGATGTCTAATCTGAAAGATTAGACATTGATATGATTGATCATATCAAAATATCATATCAATATTTGGCTATATTGTATTTCAAGGATAATAAAATAGTCATAAGATTTCCTTGATTCCCGGGCAAGATGGTGGAGTAGGAACAGCTCTGGTCTGCAGCTCCCAGCGAGAACAACACAGAAGGTGGGTGATTTCTGCTTTTCCAGTGAGGTACCTGGTTCATCCCACTGGGACGGGTTAGATAGTGGGTGCAGCCCACAGAGGGCGAGCAGAAGCAGGGTTGGGCATCGCCTCACCCAGGAAGCACAAAGGGTTGGGGAACTCCCTCCCCTAGCCAAGGGCAGCCATGAGGGACGGTGCTATTTAGCCCAGATACCATGTTTATCTCACGGTCTTCGCAATCTGCAGACCAGGAGATTCCCTTGGGTGCCTTTACCACCAGGACCCTGGGTTTCAAGCACAAAACTGGGTGGCCATTTGGGCAGACACTGAACTAGTTGCAGGAGTTTTTTTTCATACCCAGTGGCACCTGGAACACCAGCGAGACAGAACCATTCACTACCCTGGAAAGTGGGCTGAAGCCAGGGAGCCAGATGGTCTTGCTCAATGGATCCCACTCCCATGGAGCCCAACAAGCTAAGATCCACTGGCTTGAAATTCTCGCTGCCAGCACAGCAGTCTGAAGTTGACCTAGGAAGCTTGAGCTTGGTGGGGGGAGGGGCGTCCACCATTGCTGAGGCTTGAGTAGTCTGTTCTCCCCTCACAGTGTAAACAAAGCCACTGGGAAGTTCGGACTAGGCAGAGCCCATAACAGTGCCACAAAGCCGCTGTAGCCAGACTGCCTCTCTACATTTCTCCTCTCTGGGCAGGGAATCTCTGAAAGAAAGGCAGCAGCCCCAGTCAGGGGCTTATAGATAAAACTGCCATCTCCCTGGGACGGAGCACATGGGGGAAGGGGCAGCTGTGGGTGCAGCTTCAGCAGACTTAAATGTTCCCGTATGCTGGCTCTGAAGAGAGCAGAGGATCTCCCAGCACAGTGCTCGAGCTCTGCTAAGGGTCAGGCTGCCTCCTAAAGTGGGTTCCTGACCCCTGTGCCTCCTGATGGGGAGACACCTCCCAGCAGGGGTCGATAGACACCTCATACAGGAGAGCTCTGGCTGGCATCTGGTGGGTGCCCCTCTGGGAGGAAGCTTCCAGAGGAGGAAGCAGGCAGCAATCTTTGCTGTTCTTCAGCCTCTGCTGGTGATACCAGGGCAAAAGGGTCTGGAGTGGACCTCCAGCAAACTCCAACAGACCTGCAGAAGAGGGGCCTGACTGTTAGAAGGAAAACTAACAAACAGAAAGCAATAGTATCAACATCAACAAAAAGGATGACCATGCAAAAACCCTATTCGAAGCTTACCAACATCAAAGACCAAAGGTAGATAAATTCACAAATATGAGGAAAGACCAGTGCAAAAAGGCTGAAAATTCCAAAAACCAGAATGCCTCTTCTCCTCCAAAGGATCACGACTCCTCGCCAGCAAGGGAACAAAACTGGGCGGAGAATGAGTATGACTAATTGACAGAAGAAGGCTTCAGAAGGTGGGTAATAACAAACTCATCCAAGCTAAAGGAGCATGTTCTAACCCAATGCAGGGAAGCTAAGAACCTTGATATGAGGTTACAGGAACTGCTAACTAGAATAACCAGTTTAGGGAATGACATAAATGACCTGATGGAGATGAAAAACACAGCACGAGACCTTTGTGAAGCATACACAAGTATCAATAGCTGAATCGATCAAGTGGAAGAAAGGATATCCGAGATTGAAGATCAACTTAATGAAATAAAGCATGAAGACAAGATTAGAGAAAAAAGAATGCAAAGGAACAAACAAAGCCTCCAAGAAATATGGGACTATGTGAAAAGACCAAACCTATGTTTGATTGGTGTACCTGAAAGTGACAGGGAGAATGGAACCAAGTTGGAAAACACACTTCAGGATATTATCCAGGAGCACTTCCCCTACCTAGCAAGACAGGCCAACATTCAAATTCAGGAAATACAGAGAACGCCACAAAGATACTCCTAGAGAATGGCAACCCCAAGGCACATAATTGTCAGATTCTCTACGGTTGAAATGAAGGAAAAAATGTTAAGGGAAGCCAGAGGGAAGATCAGGTTATCCACAAAGGGAAGCCCATCAGACTAACAGCAGATCTCTCTGCAGAAACCCTACAAACCAGAAGAGAGTGGGGGCCAATATTCAACATTCTTAAAAGAATTTTCAACCTAGAATTTCACATCCAGCCAAACTAAGCTTCATAAGTGAAGGAGAAATAAAATCTTTTCCAGACAAGCAAATGCTGAGGAATTTTATTACCACCAGGCCTGCCTTACAAGAGTTCCTGAAGAAAGAGTTCATGTCCTTTACAGGGACATGGATGAAGCTGGAAACCATCATTCTCAGCAAACTAACACAGGAACAGAAAACCAAACACCACATGTTCTCACTCATAAGTGGGAGCTGAGCAATGAGAACATATGGGCACAGTGGGGGGAACATCACACACTGGGGCCTGTCGGGGGGTGGGGGGCAAAGGGAGGGATAGCATTAGGAGAAATACCTAATGTAGATGACAGGTTGATGGGTGCAGCAAACCACCACGGCACATGTATACCTATGTAACAAACCTGCACGTTCTGCACATGTATCCCAGAACTTAAAGTATAATAACAAAAAATCTATAGATTATTAAAGAAGACGACTGCGGCCGGGCATGGTGGCTTACGCCTGTAATCCCAGCACTTTGGGAGGCCGAGGTGGGCGGATCACGAGGTCAGGAGATCCAGACCATCCTGGCTAACACGGTGGAACCCCGTTTCTACTTAAAAAAAAACAAACAATTAGCCGGGTGTGGTGGCGGGAGCCTGTAGTCCCAGCTACTCCGGAGGCTGAGGTAGGAGAATTGCGTGAACCCGGGAGGCAGAGCTTGCAGTGAGCCAAGAGTGCGCCACTGCACTCCAGCCTGGGCGACAGAGTGAGACTCCGTCTCAAAGAAAAAAAAAAAGAAAGAAAAAAGAAAAAAGGAAGGCTGCAACTCAGGAATCCTGTAGCCAGTGATCATGGCACTGACTATAAGGAGAAAATATTGTTGTACAGGAATTCAGTGAAGATTCCTTTACATCATACAGTCTAAGGTATACACACTAGAAAAGACTAGAGGAAAAAAATAGTGACCTCAAATGGGGCAAGAATGTGGGGAGGGGAAGTCTTTAAATCTAATGGATATGAATAAACAGCCTGCAATGTGTGGAATAAGAACCCAATTAGATTCTTGAAACTGAAAGCTATGAATTTAAGGGAAATCTAAAATTAATAAAAGCAAAATGTAGGGGTTGAGATTGGGGTGAGAGAAAAGAAGAAATAAAAACTGTTCTAAGATTTCTTGTCAGGGGCAAGGATGTGGGTAGCAGAGGTGGGGTCAGAGTGTGCCCTGAAGGGCATGTAAAATTTTTGCTTTATTGAAATGAGGGGAAAAGGGAGAAATTGTTCATCTTGGAAATGAAAAAAAATCACCTCTTCATGGGTATTTTGTCAAGAATCATTTTATTTGGTTAAAATGTATATAGAACACCTTAAATTCTAATATGTAAAGATTTGTATGGCAAATAAAAAAATTGTATGGCAAATAAAAAGGTGATTGTCAAAAAAAAAAAAAGATTTCCTTGACTTCCAGAGGGCAAAGAAGATTTGATTAGCATGTCCAAAAATATATACATAATTTCTTAGAACTTGTCTGAGAGGCAAAGAGCAGGGCTAGACTGTGAAAATATGAAGTATTTATAAGGTGTGGCAATTTGTCAAAAATCACCACAAATGGAATTCCCGATATAGTACTTCAGTAATAATCTATATAGTGTCCAAAGTAAAAGTGAATGTATATTCTGGCTGTCAAAGACACCTTACCTGAACCATAGGAATCGTAAAGCTTAAAGAATTCTGCATTTTTCCCAGAAAGACATTTGTTTGAGTGTCTTTTAACCTAAGAGGTTCAGAATACATTGCACAAACTCTTGTGTTTCTAGTAGGAGCTTTTTGCTTCTCGTGGATAAGGATTGAACAGGCAAATGCACACAGGCTTTAATAGAGAAGGCTTAGGAATTACTTAGGGCAGACACTACGAAGGGGTAAAAAAGGATGAAACAAACAGAATGAAAACCTGGGACACACAGGAACAAAACCTCAGGGAACAGATATACTGATTCTACAGCATTTATGATCCAACTGGACAAGCCTATCCCAAGCCAGGTGAACAGCAAAGGAAAACCAGCCAGAACCATTCTGGACTAGGGAAGGAAGTAAATGGGATGAACAAAAGCAAAACCTATTGCAACATGCAAGTCTGCCCATGACTTGATTCCCTTAAAGACAGTCTCTTGTTTGTTACCGTAACCTGTAACTTACCTTGGAACATTTTCCCACCTTTCAATTCCCTCTCCTACATACAACACACATGGACATGCACACACACATTCATATATACACATGCACAAGTATGCAAATGGCATGAAGCAAAGCACATACAATTTGCATTATTGAGTACATTTCTCATTGGAAAGGCAGAGTAGATCTAAGATTTTACAAAAGTGTCTACTCAATTAATTGAGATAATGAACATGGGCTCTAAGTACAGTGTCTGGCCTATAGTAGGTAGATATTAGCTATTATTATCATATTAAAAGATCTATTACTCTGTATATACAAATGTAATTACAATCCTTTTAATGATTCTTTGAAGCATAATTATAGCAAAATGGGCTCAAGTTATAACTTACCCAAGATCACTAGTGAAGGCAGTGTTGTAATTAAAATCCAAAGGCTTTCTGGCTATGGAGACCACATTATTTCTTACTGGGTAAAATTGCTTGCTAATTGGATAATTCAATATCACACTATTGGGATACTGAAAGGGTTAAAATCATGCCCCATCTTGCACCAAATAGGTAAAACAGAAATAACACACAACAAAATAACTAATCCAGAACCCGATACTCTTTTATAATCTATTAGCTTCACTCAGAAATACAAGCTATAGGATTGATTGAGAAGTTTATTTCTGCTGGAAAAATTAACGTTGTGTATGCTGAAGCTTCCTGTGCTAATAATTCTCTCAAGTATAACACTTGAGCTTGAGCCTCCATAAATTGTGCTAACCTCAAGATTAGCCTCCTTCATTTACCTGCTTATCTGACCCCATGGGAGTTTATAATTAATCAGACCGGCACTCACCTATCATATCAATTCACAGGTTCACACAAACATGTGCTTTATTTACTAACAGATAATCCATGCTGCACTCAGCTGCACATATTAATCTTATTAAAACGGTGATTGCATTATATCCTTTTCTTGCTCAGAAATGACCAAAGCTTCCACATAGCTACTGAGTTGAGGGCCTTACAGCTCAGCTTACGCTTAGGACTTTCCGTAGAATAAGTCTACCTTCTAATCCAAATTCTCCCATCGCTAATTTTGAGTCACACAAATTCATGCTGTTCCACCATATTTTCCCTTTCTTTCCATTCAAATTCTAGAACTCCATCATTCCCCATGACATAGTCCACAGGATTTGGCTTATCTCTGATTTCTAACAAGAACTGATAATAGCAATCACTTTGTTTCATATAATCTATTGCATTAGACTATGCTAGGAGAGTATGTTTTATCTCAACAACATTTCAAGTGTCAGGGGAACAAAAGCAATTTCTGATAAATGCCTTTCAGGATCTAGCACAGTACTTCATATCTAGTCAGCCCTAGATCAATTCACCCATTCACGAAGTCAGTATTATTAAGCACCTATTATGTGCCAAATACTATATTATTATTTCAGAATATAATAGAAAACAAGCTAGACATGATCATTGATCTTATAAAACTTACATTTAATAAGAATGAGAAAATTATCAGCCTTTTTAATAAAGTAGGATAAGTGGGAAGATGGGGAAAAGTTCACGTGCCAGCAGATATGGCAGCAGTGGAGATGGGGTGAGAGCCAGGAAGGGATTTTAGAGCAGGCATCATTGATTATATAAATGAAGCAGGAAGAGAGAAAAGGAAGGCGAAAGGGACGGACAAGTGTTAAATGTTTGCAATGACACATTCCTGAACTTTGGTTTCATGTAGACAAATACATACAGACACACACCCATGTACTACAACTGTGTACCCACTTATGTACCGTAAAATAGTGAAGTCTGATTCTAACTCATAAATCTACAGCCACCTATTTTCAGCTGAGATCCACCACAATTCCACTACACACTTGAATTAGTGGAAATCTAAGTCCAACGATTCATTTACTTTCCCTCCTCGATTAACAATTGTTATGAGATATCCAGATACCTGCTACAAATATTCTCTCTTATAATATCAATGCAAATATTCCCAATCTACATGTCAAGATGCACCATAGCATGTAATCCGTTTCTATATTTATTTATTTATTCCTTTGAGAGAGTTCCAGAAAGTCCATTTTGAAGCTCAAATAAAGTTCCATTTTAAATTCCAATTCTAGGTTAAGATTTATGCCAGCTCTTATTTAGCATAGGCACCCATCCGTGCCCATAGGCCTTTCTGGATCTGAGATATGGAATAATTCTGCATGTATTTACATTCCTCCAGTCTGCTTATTCAGCAAGCTTTCTAAATGGATGCTAGTTTGTGCCTGAATAATAAATGGAGTCAATCTGGACTTAAAGGGGATTTCAGAATCAGGGCACAAGGTCAGACATGGACACTCCCAGAAACTGATACAAAAATGTAAACCATGTGGAAGATTATCTTCTCTAGAAGTTCCCCCCAGAAGGAGGTGAGAGAGAATGCACTTTGTGGGTATATTGGAAATAACTGTTCTAGGTAGCAGGAAGGCAAATACAAAGATTCCGAGGCAGGAGCACGCCTGACATGTTTAAAGAAGAGTAATGGGGAAGAGAGACAGAAGTTGAGGGCAAAGGGTTATTTTTATTTATTTGTTTGTTTATTTATTTTGAGATGGAGTCTCACTCTGTCATCCAGGCTGGAGTTCAGTGGGGCAATCTTGGCTGACAGCAACCTCTGCCTTCTGGGTTCAAGCAATTCTCCTGCCTCAGCCTCCTGAGCAGCTGGGATTACAGGTGCCCACTACCACACCCGGCAGATTTTTGTAGTTTTTGTAGAGACACGGTTTCACAATGTTGGCCAGGCTGGCCTCGAACTCCTGACCTCAAGTGATCCACCCATGTCGGTATCCCAGAGTGCTGGGATTACAGTAGTGAACCACTGCGCCCAGCCTGGCAAAGGGTTATTTTGTTGTGGTTGTTGGGGAAGGAGGGGTCCCAATTACATAAGGCCTTGTGGGTCTTTATAACAATAAGGTTTTTGTTTTTGTTTTTAACCCTGATTGCAATGAGCCACTAGGTTTTGAGCTAAGACATGATTTCACAGACATTTATATTTGAAGTATTCCCCTTTTCATCCTTCATTTAGCTTGAGCAGATGAGTGGATTTCTCCAGAAAGACCAAGAAAGAGAACACCTTACATAGAATAGAAGCAACTGGTTATTTTATAAAGATATTAAGATTCTAGAGTTTAATTATACAACATTCCTTTAAGATGGCTGAACTATATCTGATTATATATTTTTTTAATTTATTATTAATTTTGCTTTCCAACTAGTTTCCCTTCTGGGAATTTTCCTTGCAGAAAGCACAGGCTATTACAGAATATGAGAATCAGCCTGTCAGATATTCTGCTAGATAACTCCAGGGATGTTCTCTTGTTTAAACCTCACAAGAATCCTGCAAAGTAGGTGTTATGTTCCACGAGATGAGAAAGCAAACTTGGAGAGGATAATTGGTTCAAGGTCACATAGTTATAAATGCTGGAGAAAACTCGGAACTCAGGACCACCTGCCTCTGAGGGCCTTGGTCATTCTGTGGCTGTCTCAGTGATCCCTGCTTGTCAATTAAAACTCTTAATACAACTGGGCACTGTGGCTCGTGCCTGTAATCCCAGCGCTTTGGGAGGCCAAGACTGGTGGATCACTTGAGGCCAGGAGTTCAAGACTTGCCTGGCCAAAATGGAGAAAGCCTGTCTCCACTAAAAAAAAAAAAAAAAAAAAAAAAAAAAAAAAAAATAGCCATTCTTGGTGGCAGGTGCCTGTAATCCCAGCTACTCGGGAGGCTGAGGCAGGAGAATTGCTTGAATGTGGAAGGTGGAGGTTGCAGTGAGCCGAGATCGCGCCACTGCACTCCAGCCTGGGCGACAGAGCGAGACTCCATCTCAAAACAAAACAAAACTCTTCATAAAGCTTTTATGGGTACTTAGAACACACTGCTTCAAAACACGTTACCTTAGAAATTGAGAAAACACCAGAAGCAGAAAGGTAATTCTCTGACTTTCCCCAACCTTTCTGTGTGAAGGTTATTCACAAAGGCCAGCTTTCATCATCCCTGAAAATGGGCCATAAGATCTTCATGTGACAGGTGTCCTGCCGCATACCTGAAGGAAAAGAATGCTACACAGAGAGATGAAGAAAAATCTCAATAAACATGCCTTTCTCAGTTCCCCGTAGTTTATTACCTTTGGTCATACATACATTGCTTGAACCCAGGAGGTGGGGGTTGCCGTGAGCTGAGGTCATGCCACTGCACCCCAGACTGGGTTTCAGAGCGAGACTCCATCTCAAAAAAAAAAAAAAAAAAAAAAAGAAAAGAAAAGAAAAAAAATTCTAGTTTTTCAAGCAGTCTTTCAAAATTTTGATAAGCCTGAATCAACACCACAGAATCCTTGGTAAGTCAGGTAAAGCTGAATTGCTAATCTGAACTCCTAAGCGTCACATCTTTTTCCTTGGCTCTTCCACCAAACCATTGCTACTCATGAAAATATACCCTCTCTGAAGTAGCCAGCTGAACAAACCTTTATGCAATAAGTTGAAGCGGAATGTAGTGTGTGTGTTTATGTGATGCATGCTCATGTGCACATGCATGCAGGGAGGACAGAGAAAAAGAGAGAGAGAATGAGAGGTCTTGGTTCCAGTCATGCAAAAGTGTATCCATCCTGCAGGCACGCAAGGCAGAAGGCACACACCCGACTGAACTTGCCAGGCTCAGCCTTCAAATTCACACTTGGCAGTGGGAGCTGCTTATTAGCACCAACCTCACCTTCTTTAGAGTTTCGTTTGCAAATGAGATATTTCATCAATCTATGGATTCCCTGTTTTTTTGTCTTAGTCACCACTCATTCTTTCTCTCACTGGCTCACTGTTTTGTTTTTGTTTTTGTTTTTGTTTTTAAGCCCTTTTTTTGAGAAAAGAAAAGGAAATGCATCATTGTTACTAGGTACAGCAACAAACTAAACAAATCTTTTCCTCTACTTCTACGAAATGAAGCCTTTCACTTTTATCTTCCCAAACTAACTGGAAGAAAGAGGCTTTCTTGTTTTCCCCCTCAGCAGTGGAAGTGAACGCCTTCTATTCAACAACTCCACCCACGAGCTGGTGCCTTCCTCTCTCAAAGGGTCAGTAAAGTCTGCAGACCCCATGGAAGCGCAGATGTAAGAATGACCCATAGAACTCCCATAAGAACTCAGATGTCCATTTTGAACAATACCTGCTTTAAGGCTTTATAAAGAGGCAGAGAGGGAAATCCATTCTAGAGGGAGCAGTGATTTTAGAATAGGTGCTTGTCTCCACAGCTACATGGGGAAAGAACAGAAGTAAACTTAGGCTGGAATACCCAAGAGGAAACGTGGGGTAGAAAATGAAGGAAGAAGTTTCCAGGCAACAAATGCCACCTCGCATGGCCCTCACTACACACCAGTTTGAATCACACCTTACATTTGGCTAAATCAGTTGTTTAGATGAAAGTGAGAATGAGGCCAAATTAACATATAATTTTGGCTAGAGACCCAAGGTGTTAGAATCACAAAGATCTTTGTTCAAATCTCATTTCCTACACTTATAAGCTATGGATTTTGGGCAAGGTGTTGAACACCTCTGGCCATGATTTTCCCATATGTATAACAGCAAGAGACAATCAGAGTGGTTGGGATCATTAAGGAAAACAACACTTGGGAAATAGCTTTTCAGTAAAGCATAGGGACAGGCTTCCTCGGAGGGTCCTGTGTGATTACCAAAAAAAAAAAAAAAAAAAAAAAAAGAGGGATTCCACACTTGGCTGGCCAGAGGGAGGCTGTCCAAAGTAGGCAGGTTTTTTTTGTTTTTGTTTTTTTTTAATAGCTGATTAACAACTGTGTTCCCACTCACACATCAGCCCCAACTTATCCTCTAACCTTGAGAAAATTAATCACAAAGAAATGGTGTCAGGTGAAGGGAAAGTCAAGCAGGGAGAGGAAAGCTGAGTTATAATTCTCCCTCTGTGCCCAACACATTATACCACCATATGCAGGTCACATAAACTTTCTGGGCCTTATTTTCCTTTGTGTAAAATGAATGAGTTGGGCTAGACTAAGCTTAGAGGTCCCAAATTCTAAAACTCTTTGTGGACTTAATTTCCCGAATAGGGGAAGGGCCATTTCTAGCTCTGTAAGGATGACAGCAGTTGACAAATGTCCACAGATCCTGTGTGATGGTCAGTTATCTTTTCCAATTATGGTTGCTCCTCAGCTGAGGAGCAATCTCAAACCAGCCTGCAGGGATCTGTGCAATAAGGGAAGGGGCAAAGCTATCAAGGGTAATAATCAAAGCTTGGCCATTTAACGGGGAAGCTGTTAGGCAAATTCACTGCTTTACTCCAGGAGCATTTTCCCTGACCTAACATCCTGCAGAGCAGGACAGAAGAGGGCTCAGCTGCCTCTCCAAGAGACAAATGGGTCTTGCATGATTTGCACTTGCAAGTCACTTCAAATATTAATTATAAAATCATCTATTTACTTTTTTTTGTCCTTTCTTGCAAATCATTCTAAAAATAATGTCATTTAAACACTGATTCACTGGCTGTGCCCAAGTGAACTCCCCAGGGAAATCCTAGCCACTGTAATATTTGAAAATGCCCCTCTAAATTAGCAAGCCTTGCACAGACTCTATTGGGAAATTCAATCATCCCTTTGTTACTGGGTATTTTTATTTGTGGCTCCCTGAAAGAACTGAAGTTCACCCACCTTCAATTCCAATCAGTCTGAAATGATATGGATAGGCCGTGAGTTTAGTGGCAGCAACTCCATTAATATTAATATACAATAAAGAACCACAACATTTAATAAAAACAAAAGCTACAAACTATATCTGAAAGCCTTTTAAGAGCAGGGTAAATAAATGCTCTAGTGATATTTTTCCTCTTCTCTTATCATCAAAACTCTTAAACAAGCATAAAACAGGCTTTGTTGACTTTTATACCTTTCTTCCATTCAAATGCAAAAAACCGAGGGGATGTTTACTATGTTTAATTAGCTTCATAATGCCTGGGTTTCCTTAACCTGAGTGAGGTAGTTGGTTACTAAAAGTAGAAGCTCACAATTTATTAGCAGTGCCACCAAATGTTTCTACCTAATGCTGATGAATGCAACTGCAAAAACATGAACTTTTAAATCCCTGAATTCTACAAACAGAAAAGGGAAATGATTTGGGGTCCTGGAAGGAAGCCATAATGAAGGAAAAATAATTAGTATGAAACAGAATCTCACTTGAAAATGGGGCCTCTAGATTTCAGACCGATCCAAGCTCCCTCACTAAAAATGCAGGCATTTCATCTAAACAATGTGGAAGCACTGACTGGATAAATATCTAAATGAATGGAATTCCTTGTGAGCTGCTCCCCATTTCCTGATCTTTTTAGCTAAAGTGCAGACACAGGAAATCTGAGATCTTTAAGATATTTTATCTTATTTTATTTACTGTTTTTAGAGATAGAGTCTCACTGTGTTGCCCAGGCTGGACTGCAGTGGCACAATCATAGCTCACTGCAGCCTCAAACTCCTGGGCTCAAGAGACCATCACACCTCAACCTCCCAAGTAACTGGGACTACAGGTGTGTACCACCATGCCTGGCTGATATTTTGTAGAGATGGGTGGTGGGGGGCGGTCTCACCATGTTACTTACCCAGGCTGGTCTGGAATGCCTAACCTCAAGCAATTCTCCCACCTCAGCCTCCCAGAATACTGGGATTACAGATGTGAGTCCCCTGCTAGTCCAGGAAGATATTTTAATGGTGATCCTTTCAGACCACCCATTCTACACTTGACTTTTGGTTACAACATCCCTCCTACGTGCTTGACCCAGCAGCCTTATCCTTTCCTTCAGCTTGCCTAAGCCTTAAGCAGGCTTCTTCCTGACTCTAGGTCCCTAATGTCCCTTTCCTTATAGCATTTACTTTAGAAAACATGTAATTATAAATCCTTTCTCTGCCCCTTTGACATGTAAATCTTTTTAAAAGCCTCTTGTCAGTTTTGCAACCTCTCTCAAGGACCTAGGAGCCATCTCTTTGAAATGTAATCAACAAGGAGACAGCATCGCTATCTCCCAGTTTTTCTGAGAGTTGAACATTCCTGCCTTATTCTAAGTTGCAAAACTACCTTCTATCATAAAGACAAGGAAAGTGTATTTTCCCTTTGGATAAAGACAATTGATAAATACAGATGGCTTATGACTTCCCCTTAACAACCTCCAGGCCTTTTTCCCGAGCTCACCCAACTCTTAGAAAAACCCTTCCCGTTCTTCAGCAGAGAGTTGAGTCTAGATTTAGTTCTAGCTTCCACTCCCTATTGCAATATCCTTGAATAAACTTCCTTGCCTGCTTAGCTTTGGCCAGTGCAATTTTCGCTGCTGATACTTAAAGGTTTCTGGACATGAGCAGGGGTCCCAGCACCTATCTTCTTGGGTATTCATTCTTTCCTTCATCAACCCTGACCTTAGACAATTCTTCCCTACAAGGAAGCACAATCTGTCTCACTAGGAATTCTACCCACTGATCATGGTTCTACCCTTGGGGTCTGTATAGAATATGCCTAATATTTTACACATCCTTTAAATATCTGAAGAAAGCTTCTCTGCTCCAGGTTAAACCTTCCCAGGGCCTTCACAGAAGGTGCTGAGCCTTAGGTTCATATTTGTCTTTGTCAAAGGATCTCCCTAAGGGAGTGCCTGAAGATATAGTAACTCCAGGTATAGAAGAGGCAACTAAAGGGGTTTTGTTTTACCTGAGAAAAATAAAATTTACGGTGTGATAATTCAGGATATAACCCACAGATCAGGTATCCTCAGAATGAATTACAAATGCATTCAGCTTTCAGTAATGTTTTCTTAACCCTATAAATAAAAGCAATCTATGTGAGGTTTGAGCAGCCCAGGGAAAGGATACCAAGACTTGGTACTTTTATCTCATTAAAACCCTCAAGAAAAAAACACTATATATTCAATTACGGGGGTGAGAAGAATAATAGCTAGTAATTTTTTTTCTAGACTACAGTCATGACCTTGAAAACTCGATGATGTTCATAACATTAGTTTTATTTTAAAAATTCTATTTTTCTCCTGCAGACTTTGCTATATATACTCATATTCACCCTCCCTCCTTTCACTACTTGAAGTTTCATCTCTCTAAGGTCTAGACATTCTCCTATTTTGAATGTTTTCCCACGTTCTCACCCCTGTCAAAATATTCAGCATGATTTTTAAAATTAAGGGGTAATCAGTCAGTCAGGTAATCAGGTTATTTTATTATTTGACCAACTAGGTTCTTCATCAAAGAAAATATCATTAAGTTACAAGTATGTTAATAGTTGACCCTGAGAGGCCCGCTTGGTTCTCACTGAAAAGATGGAAATCACAAGCTCATTAAGTACCTTTTTCTTTCTAAAAAGGTATTACTTGAGCAATCTCTGTTGCTCCTTTTTCACAGCTCCCTTATATTCAAAAGTAATATTTTATTTTCACAACATATATTTTATTTGTATCTTTCTTCTGAAATATATTTTCAAAATAATTTTATAGAACTATGTACTGACAGTACCTTGTATCCTAGGCTTAGAGCTCTTCAAGGGCAAAGTTATTTATCTTATTAGCCTATAATAAGCAGTATAGTGCCTAACACATCATATATCTCAATAAATATAAAGATATAAAAATTGAGAAAATTAATTGAGGTAATCTTCCCAACAATTTTATAGGACAGAGAATGGGATGGATATTTATTTCCATTTTTCTTTTTTTTCTTTTGAGATGGAGTCTCACTCTTGTCGCCCAGGCTGGAGTGCAGTAGGGCAATCTCGGCTCACTGCAACCTCCGCCTCCCAGGTTCCGGCAATTCTCCTGCCTCAGCCTGCCGAGTACCTGGGATTACAGGCACCTGCCATCATGCCCAGCTAATTTTTGTATTTTTTTTTTTAGTAGAGACAGGGTTTCACCGTGATGGCCAGGCTGGTCTGAAACTCCTGACCTTAAATGATCCACCTGCCTCGGCCTCCCAAAGTGCTGGGATTACAGGAGTGAGCCACCGCACCTGGCCTATTGCCATTTTTCAGGCAGGTTAAGTAATTGTTCAATGCAGGATGTGGAAAAATAATCCCTCCTGAATGGTGAATGTACATCTGATTGGAATGACTTTGGGTATGCAATTAGACCTAGAGTCCCAGAGTCCATGTCTATTAAAGATGTGTGTCAATTCTGGTTATTTGGTGGGACATACAAGAGGGATTCTAAATCATGCTACTGTTAGGATTTAGTATGTGAATGTACATGTATGTGGAAGTGTTGGGGGTGGGGAAGGACCAAATTTGCATTTCACTAGCTCTCTTTTTGTTCTTAACAGATAGAATTCATATACTCATTAGATTTGGCTCTGGTAAGAATGACTTCTGCATTATAGGCAATAGATAAGAGGCATAAACCTGGGGGAAGGGGACACTATGCACACTCACAAACAAACAAACAAACAAACAAACAAACACAACCCTAGACAGATTATTTCCTTGTAAGAAACAGTGATGGCAGCCCTCCATACATCAAACAATTCAATCTCTCAGACCCCAAATCATTTCAGTTCCAGAAAGAAGGCCAATATTCACGAACTCATTACCAAGCCTTGATCAATCTTAATATATTGTACGGAACTGTCATTGTAGCTGAAATGGCATTTTTTCTCTCCTTTGATGTTCTTGCAAATGGATTCGTTTGGAGGTAGAATAAGAAGTTTGGGTGACGGAATATAAACACAGTTACAGCTGCTTTCCATGCTGTGGAAAATTGTGAATCGGACACAATTGTGCATAAAGCCAGGCATTATGGTTTTAAAGGATAAGAGGCCTTAATCCTAGCACTTTGGGGAGCTGAGACAGGAGAACTGCTTGAGGCCCAGAGTTCAAAACCAGCCCAGGGAAGCAATATAGCAAGATTCCATCCCTACAAATGATTTAAAAATTAGTCATGTGTGGTGATGCACACCTGTAGTCCTAGTTACTCCAGAGGCTGAGGCAGGAGGACAGCTTAAGCCCAGGAGCTTGAGGTTGCAGTGAGCAATGATCATGCCACTGCCACTCTAGCCTGGGCAACAGAGTGAGATACTGTCTCAAAAACAAAGAAATAGGAGAGTCAAGGGATGGCAAGAGATACTTTTCTGATGATTAAAACATCCTTGCTTTCCTGAAACAGAACTTATTTTTAAGGAATTTTAAGAGTTCATCAGCCAAGTGTGTGGTCATCTGTTCATCCAAGCTCCTGGTCATCTTAGGTTAATTAATGATTTACTGAGTGTTTCTATTTCACTTGATTCACACTCAGTTGAAGAGTTAGAACCATGAAAAATTAGACTTAAGCTTTAAAGATAGCATTCCATCCAGTTCCACAGCACCCTTTACATATGGCAGTCAGAGGTACAGAGCCTCAATGGAGCACTCTGAGTGAAGGAATCAACTTCCAGCGAAGCCCACACCACTGCTTCCTGCCTCTTCATTTCTGACAATACTACGGGACACTAAGGAAACCTACTTGCTTATGATACTACATCAGTCCATGTTCTGCCTTCAGAAGCTTTCTAGAACATATCTGATTTCTTTCCTGTATTGTGTTAAAAGAAATTTTCAGAAAAAAGTACAATCATGACCCTTATGCACATATAAAAATGAACATGAGTTCAATAATTTATTTTGCTCATATGATATGAGGAAATCAAGCAGACGCTATACCAGTTTAAAGGAAAAGTCAAAACACTACAAAATTACATGGAGTAAACGAATGTTGAGCAAATTGCAAATGAAGACAAAGTGATTTTTCCACTGGGAGGGAGGGAAGTCAATTGAAATTCTACTGGAAAAGACAGAATTTGCATACCAGTCAGATACCTACAATTTACAGATGTGCAAAACAGCTTAAAGGCAATAATAGGACTAGAACTGAATATCCTGGATTGGTGTGATATAAATCATGAATACGTTTCCATTGAAGTACTAATTTTTTTTAGTATTGAAGTAGAGTCCTGGTATCTTATATGTAATTCTAAATTGAAAACAAGCAGGGAAAACAAGCAGGGAAAAAACAAGCAGGGGAAAAAAAAGCCCTGACAACTGAAAGCTATTTTTCCAATGTCTGGTGCTTATATATCCCTGTTAGTATGAATATTCATTTATTTTGCTGCATAAATATTAATACATGTTATTACAAGTATTGCCCCAGATACCTCATATATAACATATGCATGTATTAGCCTCTTAAAATCAGAAATCTTTTGAGATCTAAAACTCCTTTAGTTCCCTATTGATGTTTTCCTAGAGTCAGCTTATGGTTTGGTCAATTGTTTACATTTCTTCCAAACTTCACATTCACCGACTTCAACTCGGTAGTTTAAAATTAGCCAAGGGGGATGGTATTTACACAAGAAAACAGTCAAATGCTCCAAATCAGGGCTTTCTTTTGTGCACGTGTGTGTGTGTGTGTGTGTGTGTGTGTGTGTTTCTTCCTGAGGGTCAGTTGTTAAACATTTGTCGGCACACCACTTCCCCTAAAGATTTCAAATAAAGGATTGTGCACCTGTATCCCGGCAATTTACAAAGGACATGTGAAAATGAATAAGGCACATTCCCTGTCCTTAAGGGATTCACACACTAGTGAAGAGCTTGTGGTCTAGTACATAAATTAGTATATTTATAAACATAAGGCTGTTCCAGGGTTTATGCTTCCCCCAAGGTAGCTGTTTCACAACAGCCGTGTTTCTACTGTCCATCATAAAATGAATTAAATCTAAGTGGTTTCAATTCAATAAATATGCAGGAATATAAGGTCCTCTAGTAGATTCTTCAAAAGATATAAATAGTAAACAATGCAGAAGATTAAATTGGAATATGAAAATACACACATTTTACTTAGTAATAACTGGTGATAAAGGCTAAAGGCTTTCCTTGAAATAATCAATCTTGGAGAGAAAATAATATACAATCAAAGTACAATTTGGGAATTTTCTATTTACTCCAAACATTAGCCTCTTTTTTGATGGGACGTTTGATCATCTAACAAAAATATATATACATATTTTTGAGATGGAGTCTCGCTCTGTCACCCAGGCTGGAATACACTGGTGCGATCTCGGCTCACGGCAACCTCTGCCTCCTGGGTTCAAACGATTCTCATGCCTCAGCCTCCCAAGTAGCTGGGACTACAGGTGTGACAAAAATATTTTTAACACTACCCATGTGTCAGGCACTTTGCTGGATATGAGAGATTCAACAACAAAAACGCTTTGCATTCTGTTCCTCAAGAACTTTAATTCTAGTGAAAAAGAATAATGTAAGCATAAATCATAACAATATACTAGGATGCCTGATAAAAGAGAAGTATTGGGTTGAAAACCAGCAGATGCAGTTAATTATTTCAAAGGAGATGCCTTGAAGAAAGAATAAAACTTTGCTAGAGAAGGAAGGAAGGGCATGCTAGTTAGAGAGAGTAGTACATCACACACTTGGATAGTACAGGATCCTTTAGGAAGAGATGTGAGACAGGTTCAAGAGTGGGATGAAGATTTCTATGTCTTCAAGAATGAAGACAAATAAACTTAAGAGTTAAGCTATGGTTTTCAAGATTTATTTGTGTATAAAGATTCCATTATGTAGAAAAGAATATATATAAAAAAAAAACTCTCAAGGCTGAGGCAGGAGAATGGCATGAACCCAGGAGGCGGAGCTTGCAGTGAGCCAAGATCGGCCTGGGCGACAGAGCGAGACTCCGTCTCAAAAAAAAAACAAAAAACAAAAACCAAAAAACACCTGCTGGATATGCAATATAAAGTTTAGAGCTTATAAGCTTTCTGGGCTTGTCTCAAATCTATAGAAAGTAAAAACCTTGAGCACAGAGAATATTTCTTATTATTCATGTGTTATCTTCTGGACCTAATGAAGGGTCTCATATAGAGTAGGCAATTATTAAATAACTGGTAAATGGAAAAAGAGGAAAATGAACAGTAAAAGAGTGTTCAGCTTTCTATTTTGCTTTACCTGCTGCAGGATGCTGGCTGTCTTCTTCAAAGTTTTGAAAAATTATCTCCCTTCTTGGGCTACGTGGCTCTGATCCCTGCATCTATTGAAATCGTCTCCTACAACTCACCCTTTCCATCCTGGGACTCCAGCTTCTTTGCCCTCCTTGTTGTTCCTGAGCACAAGGACAAGCTCCTGTAAGAACAATTCCTTGAGAGCATTTGTATTGCTTGTCTCTCTCACTCGGAATGTCTACCTTAACCATTTTGTAAAAAATACAACTTTTTCTTTTCTTTTGAGATAGAGTCTCACTCTGTCACCCTGGCTGGAGTGCAGTGGCATCATCTCAGGTCACTGCAAGCTCCGCCTCCCGGGTTCAAGTGATTCTCCTGCCTCAGCTTCCTGTGTAACTGGGATTACAGGTGCCTGCCACCATGCCTGGCTAATTTTTTTTTGTATTTTTAGTAGAGACGGGATTTCACCATGTTGGCCAGGTTGGTTTCAAACTCCTGATCTAAAGTCATCTGCCTGCCTCGGCCTCCCAAAGTGCTAGGATCACAGGCCTGAGCAACTGCTCCCAGCCAAAAAATACCATATCTTATCATGCAACATACTCAAGTACCTTGCAATACACTCAAGTATCTTGCAGTACTTTACTTATCAGAACCTGAAATTATATTATAGATTTCATTGTATCTTTCCCCATCAATATGTAAGTCCCATATTAGATGATATCTTGTGTTGCTTACTCCTATTCCCTGTACCTAAACCCGTGCTTGGCACATAAGAAGATAAACAGTAAGTTTTTATTAAATAGATAACGAGAAAATAAGCTTCTCTGTTAGATATGTGCTTTTATGGGAATTTTTCTCAGTTCTTTTTGAAAGCAAGTGGTGTATATTTAAAAAAACTTGAATAAAACTAAAACAAACAAAATCATTATTTAATTGTAAACAGACTTCAAGACTGAGAAAATGCTTCAAAAGAAGTAACTATATCTAAAAATGTAAACAATAAGGAAAATCATCAAAGTACAGAAATTCAAAATAAAAAAGCTAATTTTAAATTTGCTCATTGTGTCCAAAGGTCATATTTCCCTTTGCTTTAGTAAAATGGTAGGTTTGCTTTGGGGCCTACACTGAGCCCCAAATATAATACTTTGTTTCCCAGAATCTTGTACCCAGGTGTAGTTATATGACTAAGTTCTGGCCAAATGAGATATAAGCCAAAATGTCAGGTAAACATTCCAAGAATGATGCTTTAAAGATGTAAATTCAGACTAGAGATAACATCATAATGTGATTTCTCCATTTTTCCTTTCTGCTTCCCGAAATGTTGATATGATGGCTGGAGCTTTAGCGGTCACTGTGGATCATGTTTTTACTTTGAGACTGAGAGCTTTGTATTAGAATGTTGGGACAGAGAGATGGAAGATGCCTGGATCCCTGGTGATTTTGTGTAGCTATCATACCCTCTCTGCATTATTTCCAGACTTCTCCATGGGACAGAATAAACCCTATGTGCTGATGATGCTGTTATTTTTAGTTTTCTGTTTATATACATTGAAGTAAAGTTCATATGTCACGTGAATATCTTAAATTATTCTAAGAGTCATGTTTATTTGCCTGACAGTATGTTTACCAGATTGAGTAGTAAATGTGGAAACCATGTTTCCACTCAGTAGTAATTTTGATCCATCTAAAAAGTACTATTGTATCATCATTGTTCTTGTTGCAGTTGTTGATATATTCACCACCTGTTCTAGGTAAGGACATCTGTTAATTTTCATGATTTTACTAAGTCCTGCATAAATATTAATTAAGCACAGTGGCTCTGAAAAACAAACTCAATGCTTGTTGGGGATTTAGGAGCAAAGCACCCAGGGTAATTACATGCTCAGATTAGAAACTACTTTTAGTAGTATGTAAAAACACACAACTTTTACAAGGGCCCAGGCAAGACAAACACAAGCAAAATTAAAAAAAAAAAAAACTATAGGAATATTAACAAACTTCTGAAGCAACTAGGAATTATAAATGAAATGTTATATCTCTTCCAATATGTACAAAGAGTTAGATTGGGTCTTTGCTCCCAGTGAAAAAATAATAATATATCCAGCACTTCCAACAGCATCCATTATGTGTGCCATTCTAATAAGCTCTTTACCTATATTAAATTATGTAAACAACACAGCAGACACATGAGGGGCGTACTTCATTTGTCAGAAGAGAAAACAGAGGTGCAAGGATGCTAAGTAACTTGTACAAGGTCACATACCTATTCAATACCGACGTCAAGATTGGAATCCAAGCAGGGTAGTTTCAGACTCTGTGTGCTTAGCCTTCAAACTTTGTTACCACTGGCAAACAGCTGGGAAGCAGCAGTAACTTGGGGAGCAATCACCAAGAAGTGTTAGTGAAATGGCTGAGTTGGAAATTCTGCTAAATAAAGGAAACTAGAAAATGATTCCCAGGCTACCAAGAATGGGAATTAAATATCAAGGTATAGGCCAAACATCTCAGAACCATAATGCCAGCACCACCTGGAAGTACTTTCTTGTCCTGTCCTTTTAACAAAAGGACCATAACTTCGGAGCAAAACTCAACTTAGAGCCACAAATCTTGACCCATTTCGCAGAATGCAGCTGGGCCAATATTTTGAAGTGTCTCAAGTACTACAATAATGTAGTACTGTTAGAGCAGCAAAGTTTGGAAATAATGTCCACAATCTTACCAGTAGAAGATATTCAGTTATGCCTATTAATAGCTTTTCTCTCTTACTTGGATTTTGGTCTTCTTCTTCATGTAAGGGCAAAAGGAATGGTATTTGGCTAACATGATGGCACTGAGTATTGCCAGCACCCGTAGGGATATGTTGTGTGACCATCACCAGTTGAATATGTCACGCTGGACAAAATGTTGGGAACTACTGGAATAATTTAAAAAACAGCAGATTGGAGTCAAGAGGCCAAGAATCATGGTGCTGCTATTGAGTAGCTGAATGATCTTAACAGAATTCCTCCAAATTATTGTGGTCTCCCCTTCCTAGTAGCCAAAACAAAGGAACATTATATGGCCACCCTGATTCCCAAGATCCGTCTTCTGTCATAAAATCAGAATGGTAGCTGTGGTATCTACTATACACGTATGTAGTAGATATAGATATATCTACATCTGGTAGATAATCAGATAATCTCCCTACTCAGAGAGCTCAGACAGATTTCATCTGAAGTGACACAGGCATATTTAATTTCAAGTGACAGAATGAGGTTGGAGCATTGGATACATTAAGAATGAGTTTCCTTTCTTCCTACTGATTGCTGTATTGATTAAGCATCTAATATGTGCCAAGTTTTCTATCATATATGTTACATACTTGGTCATCCTTACTACAAACAATATGGTAGATCGTATGATCCCAAATTGAAAATGAGAAAAAAAAAGGAGCTCAAAGAGAGTTTGAGTACTTGCTCAACCTCACACAGCTAGAAAATGGCAATAAGAGAATTTAATCCCATTGTTAGTAAACAAAAGTTAAACTCAGATCTGTCTTACTCCATGCTGTGGACTAAATTGTGTCACCTTTCCCCCTGTGGAGGCTGGAGCAACTCCATCTTTGATGCTTACCTGCCATGTTAGCTTCTGATTAACCGCAGTTCTGGGAAGGCCTTTGAAATTTCCAGTTTATCTACTGTTCCTTATATAAGAGCATGTACTTATGTAAATCCTGTCCTTATGGCAAATTCTTACACATTCCCTCTGAAGCACATGTGCCCTTCCCCTATGGTATATAATCCCTGGGTTTGGGGGATTATATACCTGGGATCCATTCTTGCGAGACTGTCTTGTCTTGTCCCTACCTGAGACATATTCTGTTCCTAAGTCCCTATTACATATTTCTTTTTAAGAAACTGGATTTGTGAGCCCTTTCTTTGGCCTCTCAACTTCCTTTGACTTTGGGGTAGATTTGCATAGGCCTGCCTACCTCAAAATACTCCCTAATTCATTTGTTGGAGCCCAAAGCCCAAAAGTTACTGTATTTAGAGATAAGGAGTAATCAAGGTTAAATGAGGTCATCAGAGTAGGAAAAGGATTAGTGTCCTTATAAAATAAGATACCAGAGAGCTCACTCTCTCCCTGCTGTGTAAGCACACTACCAGAAGATTGGCATGTGCAAGTCAGTAAGACAGCCCTCACCAAAAGCCCCTGTGCTGGCATCCTGATCCCAGACTCCCAGCCTCCAGAACTGTAAAAATATTAATTTTTGTTGTTTAAACCACCAAGTCTGTGGTATTTTGTTATGGTGGCCCAGGCAGACTAATTCACTCCAAAGGTTTTCTTTGCCCTTTTTTTCCCCGCTAAGCCATGTCTAGTCATTGTGTCCAAAAATGTCTGAAAAATAATTGGAGGAATCATTAAAGAGCTAGTGAGCTCACATTTTACATTAAAGGTGTTGCTGGTACTCCCTGGAGTTGTACTGTGCGCAGCCTGTGTGAAGGGACCTGGAAGTCCTTACTCCTGTCTGCATAATTGACATTAATCAATGATGCAAATCTGCCACTGGGTGCCAAATGCTTCGATTGTTACCCTCCAGCAGTACTACAACTAATGATATTACTATTATTCCTGCTCTTCTTTCTATTCTGTGTCCACTACCAGCATCCCAATTTTGAGTCTAATTTTTCAAAAAATACTTTCACAGTCTATCTCTAATTAAAATTCTCTACACTATAATCACGACATAATATTATCTCCACTTTACAGATGAGAAAGATGAAGTTCAAGGAGCTGCTGAGAGGTACTAAGCTAATCAGTAGCAAAGGCAAAGTGCAAAGTTTCCTGAACGCTGTTCAGTGCTCTCCACCCTGTAACCTCTATGCTTGCCTGAATATCCATCTTTCTCTACTAAGCATTTTCACATCCACAATTTTACCATTTTCAAGTATATTTTTCAGACATCCAATAAATTGTAGAATGGCAGAAATTATTTTCAGAGGGTGAAACAGGCTTTTAAATCATGCCCAGTAAAACTAAATTCTATCCTTAGGGGTTCCACTGATTAGCTGCAATAACTGTTGTCCAGATAGCCCTTGGTGTTGGACAACTTAAGGAAAATTTGTTAGATTGATTAGCCCAATTAACTCAGAAACTGACGTACAAAAACAGGCAGGAAACCCCTGCTGGGTCCAAGAAAGAAATAAAAGACATGCCCTTGGTCTTGACTGCATAAATATGAGAGGGCCCATGGAAATTTCCACATAGAGTGCAAACACAAAGGCAGTCTGGGAGAGGACCAAGCTCAGGACTGGCTCAAGAAAGAAACAAAGAAGAGAATTAAGAACCGCTAAGAAGGCAAAAAGCCTAAGGAGAGAGAGCTCAAAGAATGGACACTCTTTGGCAAGCCCAAAGGCCAAAGAACAGAGAGGGAAATTTGCAGAGCATTCAAGAATACTGAGAGGGAAAAGATCTGTGAGCTGAGAAACATGGCCTTCTTTGTTCAACGCTGGTAATGAGATTAATCTGTATTTTTTGTGAATCAGTAGCAAAGGCAAAGCACAAAGTTAGGTTCCTAACTTCACTACTGGAGCAAATGGAGCAAATAAGAAAAATAAGAAAGAAATTCTCCTTGTTAAAAAATAACTCTTCAAATCTTAATTTTTTAGATACATTATCTTGGAGTGTTGCTCTCATCACTCACTACTTGGGGTAAAGTTTTTATGTAAGTTTAAAAATGTAGTCTTCATCTCCTTCCCTTTCCTCTTGCATTTCTTCCATTTTTAAATTTTAATATGTAACTGCTAAAGCTGTAGATTTCTACTATGACTGGAATCCCAGCTGTACTGTGACTTTCATATTTGCTACTAATACTTGTACGTAACCAAGACTGATCTGACCATTTCATTTGTGATAGAGGATGAATAGATTCCCGTTATTCCATTAGCCATCATAATCCCCCATCTCAATAGAGTTTTAATTTTTTTGTCCTACAGGACTATTTCTTCCAGATGGAAGACAATGTTTTCAAGAGGCCAAATGAATCATTTGATAAGAACAAGCTAGTTCTCTTCTAAAATGAGATTAAGAAGCGGAAAATGGGAGACAGGGGAGGAAGAATAGCCCAGAAAGAACACAGAACCGCAAGAAAAAGATCCAGGAGATTCCCAGAAACTGGAAGAACAAGCATAAAAGCGTTCTGTGAATTTCCCCAGTTATGAAACAAAAAGCAAAAGTGAAAACAAATGGCATAATCAACATGCCTGTCAATATTCTGCACCACAAAGTAACAGTTTGCTAACAGGTCATCAGAGTCATGGAAGACCGCAAGTTCTTTAGCGGGTTGGGGAATTCAGGGATGGACAGCAAAATGCCAAGTCAATCTTTTTGAAAACACTGATTACAGGCAGAGAGCAGCAATCACAGAGCATCTGAGGAAATCCAGGATCATTTTCAGTTCTGAGGAAGGAAGTCATTAGGCAGCTAATTAATTTTCCTTTAAGCTCATTAATAATGGTATCTGGTTGCACATAATCTGTAAATTAGTGAAGACTAAAATTTAAGAGTGATGTGGTTGGAAAGGGTGAAAGAACACGAAGCTTAGAAAATCTATTTTATTAAGCTACATGGAATTAACAATTTTTTTATCTATGTACATATGCAGACCTTTAATTAATAAGCGTTAATATGTATAGAGTGCTTACTCTGTTCTAAGCATTGTTCTGTGTGTTTTACATGAATTATCTCATGTAATATAATAACTTTATAATATAGGTAATATTAATATCTCAAGTTTATAGCTAAGGAAATTAAAGTCTAGCAACATTAATAAACTTTAGTAAGAAATAGTAAATACAGCTAGTAAATAGCAAAACCAATATGCAACATATTATTTTTCAGGTATTAGCAAATTTTTATTACAGACAAAGACTGTAACAAAAAAGACATAGATTTTTATAGTCAAAAGGCTCTGGATTGAGTCCTGATTCTATCACGTACTACTTTTGTGTATATTTAGATACATTTCTGCATCTCCTTAATTTCTTTACCATGAAAGCATTACTCATGAACTTGCCAATCTGGTATACAAATTAAATGAGATAAATGCATTTACAATGCATAGTATGTATGTATAAAACAATAATGTTAACAGTCATTCTTCATCATTGTATTATTCAGTCAGTAAATTTATTCAGTGTCATGCAATAAATGACAGATAATATGACTGTTTTTAAGCCTCAGCACATATTAGGCACCCAATTAATAGTGCCTTTTCTCATCTTTTTCCATCTGTTAGTAAGGACTATTTACAAATGACCTAGCTAGCTAACAAAATAAATACAAAGTTTGAAAAGTAAATTGAAAAATGGCAGTTCCAAATTATTGAAGTTTAATTGAAAAAACTACAGCCTTGCTTAAACATTTTCTTGATTAAAAATAAACATTGGAAAGGGGGCATTATAATATCCCTGCAAAGCAATCAGATTCGTTTTAAAAATGAAGTCATAGAAAAAGTCAAAATCTCAAATAAAAGTCCATTATATTGTGGCTAAGTGTCAATATAATTGAGAAGGTTTATAATGTGACAGGTATATTTCAGTGAGATGAAATTCAAGATAGATCTGAATACTTAAAATTTCCTTAACATCCTGTGCAGTTTTATATAACTAATGTTTTTTATCCCAAAATGTTTTGCATTCAGATCTCCTTTAGCATGATGACCTATAATTCTCATTAATTTTACAGAATTATCTGCCTATGAAAATTGGGAAATTTTCTCCTATAACATGTTTCCACTACATTTGAATTTTAAAGTGAACTCAATCCCAATAAAATAAAAGAATAACTTTGCTAGGGCAAGAAGAGGCCTAAGAAGGGTTATGGTCATAAATGTTGCTCAATGTGATGGGGGAAATGCAAGTCCAAGAGCTACTTAGAGAATCACAGAACATTTAAAATTCTAGATTCAGTGAATCTGAAATAAGAATATGTTTCTGTAAAATATTCTAACCAGCCTCCGCATCAACAAAGATCGTCAGAGGAACTAAGAGACCCATAAGTTTCTAAATTGTGAAACTTGAGATGAAGAATCTATGTATGTATGTATGTATGTATGTATGTATGTATGTATGTATGTATGTATGTATGTATCTATTTATCTATCTATCATCTATTGCCATAAAGAATGGCTAAAGAATGATAAAGAATCTATCTATCTATCTATCTATCTATCTATCTATCTATCTATCTATCTATCCATCCATCCATCTATCCATCCATCCAAACCTAGGGTAGAGTTCCTGATTCCCCACCCTGGCAATGGCCTTTCTGGTCTCATCTCCTACCTTTCTCCACACACTCACTCTGTTGCATCCACACTGGCCTCCATGACTCTTCCAAGCCAGATGGCATCCACTTCTGGATCTCTGTACTTCCCAATCCCTCTGCCAGAAACAATTTTCATCTAAATATCTGCAAGGCTAGCTCTTTCACCTCTTTTTGTTATTTGCTCAAATGTCTCTTCAAGATGCATTTTTTGACCACTCTATTTATAATTGCAATCACTTTTCTATGCCTTGCCCATCCCTCACATACACTCTGTGCTTTTATAACTATCTAGATCTGCATTCTCAGATGCGGTAGCCACTAGCCCCATGTGGCTATTCAAATTGAAATTTAAATTCATTGAAACAAAACAAAACTTAAAATTGAGTCCTTTAGTCACACTCGGTTTATTTCAAGTATTCAATGGTCACCTGTAGCCAGTGGCTACTATATTGAACAGCAAAGCTATAGAATATTTCTATCACTGAGGAAATTTCTATGGGACAGTGCTGTTCTTGACACGTATACACTTTGTATATTTGTTTGTTTTCTTTAATATATCCTTCTACCAATCCACCCATGTCTACCCTACGTTTCTAAGCACAGAAGTGGCCAGGGCTTTTGTTGATTTTGTTTGCTGCTTTATCCCGAGTACTTAGAACAATCCTTGGCCCGTATGAGATATTCTATAAATACCTGTTAAATGAGTAAATTGATTGAAACATAACCATTCATTATTTCCCTTTAAAAAGTCAGAGATCTTGCCAGTTGCCATGACAGGGATGAATCTGGAGGACATTATGCTCAGTGAAATAAGCCAGACACAGAAAATGTTGCACAATCTCACATGTGGGATTTTAAAATCCAAATATGCAGACATAGAGAACAAAACAGTGATTATCAGGGGCAGGGCATGAGGGGGAAGAAATTGGGGGGGTGGATATAGATCAGAGGATACAAAGTTGCAAATATGTAGGATGAATACTAAGTCCAGAGTTGTAAGCTACAACATGAGAACTAAAGGTAACAAAATTGCACTGTATATAGTATTCATGCTAAATGAGTAGATTTTAGCTACTTTTGCCATAAAAACAAAAAATGGGTAACTATGTGAGCTAACAGATGTGTTAACTTGCTTCTTTGTAGTAACATTTTTACAACCTGTATGCATCCCATAACATCATGTATAACCTAAGTTAAATATACACAGTGAAGTTTATTTTTAATAAATATCAGAAATAAGAAAGCAGTTGCATCACTTCACTTTAGAGGGAATTTCAACATGCCAAATTATCCTCAGTTGTATTTCACCAGGCTATTTATTTGTTGCTTATAATTGTCCAAATACCTATGAATGGTAAACCTTTTGAGACTATGACTTCCTGTTATCATTTATCTCCTGTGCAGAGTAATAATCACTAACATATGTCAAGATTTATGACAGAAAAGTCTGTCGACTCCTACACCTCCCAAAAATTGTTAACTGTCATGAAAGTTTTAGAGTTGAGCACTTCATTTGATTAGGCTTTTCATATATATGTTATAATAAATACAGATAGATTACTACTGGATAATGGCCATCAGTCAATCTATTTGGTTTTATAAGCATAGATATGCGATTGCCTTGTAAAAATCATTTTTATTCCTACCTATATTCATTAGAATGAAGGCCTAAATATGAGTGATCCCTGCCCTCTCTGATTGACCTTGCAGAGTGCTTCTGAAGTTTGAATTCATTACTGTCAATACTGTACAGAATCATGTAAAATATATTAAAGATCCATCTTGTTGGCAAAAGCAACAGTTTTCAAACTGAATCTAAGCTTAAAATGCTCTAGAGTTAGAGCTAATAAATTCATTTTTTTAACTTTTGAAGACCTGAGTTTTTAAAATAATATTTTTTCTTACTGTGAATGAAACTTAATAAAATATTAAACAGTACACAAAAATATTAAAAACTATTTTAAAAGGGAAACATAATTTTACAACACAAAAACAATCTCTGTTAATATTTTGGTGCATTTTAAAATTTTTTTTCAGCCTATTTCCTATTTTTGTGTTTTTGGTTTTTTTTTTTTTCTTGAGACAGAGTCTTACTCTGTTGCCCAAGCTGGAGTGCAGTGATGAAATCTCAGCTCACTGCAACCTCCACCTCCCGGCTTCAAGCGATTCTCCTGCCTCAGCCTCCCAAATAGCTGGGATTACAGTCGTCGGCCACCATGCCCAGCTAATTTTTGTTTTTTTAGTAGAGACGGGGTTTCACCATGTTGGTCAGGCTGGTCTCAAACTCCTGACCTCAGGTGACCTGCATACCTTGGCCTCCCAGAGTGCTGTTCAACCCTATTTTTAAAATACACAATTATTACCCTATGTATCTCTAATGTACTTTCTGTTTTCTCCCCTTAACACTACAATAGTCCTTGGCATTCACATGTTCAACTGTTTTTACTTTATTCTAAATGTCTTTGACTTGTAATGATTTGTATTTTTCTAAGTGACAAATTAGAATCATGCAGGGAATGTGAATAGTTTAAACTGACGGATCAGTCTATCGGATTGCCCAAAATTTGGAACTCAATGTGTTTTGTTGTTGCTATGTTTGCAGTAATTGACATCAATGGTGAAGATGCTATTGGGAGGCAGGAGAGTTCAGTGAAGAATGCCAGTCACATTTGGGTTTAGATACCATTTCCATTTCTTCATTCAGTCCACAGATACTTATTTAGCCAGGTATAATACTAACGGAGGAGACCATCCCTCATATTGTCTTATGCCCAATTTCTGCCTCCAAAGAAAGAAAAAGTAAAAACTGAAAGGCAGAAATGAAATCCACAAGCAGACAGCCCGGCGCCACACCCTGGGCCTGGTAGTTAAAGATTGACCCCTGACCTAATCGGTTATGCTATCTATAGATTAAAGACATTGTATAGAAAAGCACTGTGAAAATCCCTATCCTGTTTTGTTCCCATCTAATTACCGGTGCATGCAGCCCCCAGTCACGTACCCCCTGCTTGCTCAATCGATCACGACCCTCTCAAGTGCACCCCCTTAGAGTTGTGAGCCCTTAAAAGGGACAGGAATTGCTCACTCAGGGAGCTTGGCTCTTGAGACAGGAGTCTCGTCGATGCCCTCGGCTGAATAAATTCCTTCCTTCTTTAACTTGGTGTCTGAGGAGTTTTGTCTGCGGCTCGTCCTGCTACAATACTAGATTCTGTATATACAAATAGCTTATTTTTTCCTACAGCTTTCCCATTTCCAGGTATTGTGCTAAGTACTGTACCTACTTACCATGTTTGATTCTCACAACTGTTGTAACTCCATTGTATAGTAACAAAACAGCTACCCAGTAACGGCAAGTAATTTGCAGGTGATGGAGCCCCCATGACTGACACTCAGGAGTTCTAATTTCAGTATCCTTCCTTTTAGTCACCTTATTTCATGGCCTCGCTTAAAGTGTTTGCTATTGGGAAAATCATTTAACTGTTTTGAGCCCCCATGTATTTGTTTGTATTAAATAAGATAGAGGACAACTCATAATGCCCTGGCACATTAAAAATACCCAGTAAGAGTTAGCTACTATTACTATGCTATTATTAAAAATTCATAGACTTCTGAAGGGAACAGAAATAATTCCTTGTGGATGTTAAGAGTTTACTGTCTAGCATAATCATGTTCCCAAGGCATTAAATCTTCTTTATAAACTTAATTTTAATTACTGCAGCATAGTCCATGTATTGATGTGCTATAACACATTTACCTATTTTCTCTACCTCTGGGCATTTTGGATTGCTTCTGAACTCAGTTTTTACTTGAATAAAGCAGTGGATTTCAAAGAAATAATTCCTGTACATTCAATAAGTATTTATCCATCACCTTCTATGTTAAAACTGCTGTGATAGAAATTTTAGGTGACAAAATGAGTGCTCAAAGTGGATTAGGATGACTCCACAGGGAAGATTCCAGGCAAGCACCATGCAGGCTTAGAGTGGGAAAGGGTCTCATTTAGTGGGGGAAGATCAAGAGATGTTTTTAGGAGGTAATAATACAGTTTCGATCGTCAGATAAATGTGAATAGAACAGAGAGAACACAAGAAATAGGAAAGACAGTAGAGGCAGAGGGAACACTTTAGCAAGAGCAGGAAAGTGGCCAAGCATTAAGCTCAGGAACAGTGAGCGGTCTCATTGGAGCAAAGGCATATGTAAGTAAAGGTTAAGAAATATAGAAAAGAAAATATAAGAAATATACTAAAAATAAAAAAGGTTAGAAATATAGACTGTGTCCATATTATAAAAGACTTTGAATGGCAGGGTAATGGGTCCATTCTTTATTATGTTTGCAATGGGGAAATCATGATATATTTCCCTGAGTCCAGTGGATACTAGTTAACATGGCAAAAATAGCATCACTTCTTATCATGTAATCAGCAAAGCCACTGAGGCCTGAAGTGGTTGGGGCACCAGAGATTAAATACATAGAGAAGCCTTTAAAAATCAGTAGGAGAAAGGACACTAGAACTTAAGTGAACATGGAGCAAGAGATCATGAGGGCTAGTGTGATTCAGGGACCTACAGCAAACGACAAAAAGAAACATGTCAGGGCAATTGAATGGCCTCTTTCTATGTCATGATCCTCACTTTCATTGCTAAATAATGAGCATCCAGGAGCACTGGACAGGATAAAAAGACACTGCAGAACCTGAAACTCCCACTTAACAGAGGTCTGAATAGCTACTTTTGCAATTTATTTTTAGGCCTCCTTAAGAAGAGACCAACCAAGGCTGGGCTCAGAGTGTCTGTCCAGAGTGGAATGTTTCAAAATTGCCTTTCTCATTTGTGTTACTGGACAATCATTAGTGCACACACTATTTTAAAATGTCACCCAAGGGAACAGACAAAATACCAATAAAAGGTGTTTCTGCAGAATGAAAAGTGCCAACCACAATTTTATTTGCAGCGTCTTTGGGGAAATTAATTCTTTGCCTCCTTTCCAAGACCTTCCATTCATGTATACTTTTGCAGAACTAATTATTTTTAAATGACTTGCATGTTTCCCATCTAACTGTAAAGAATCTTCAGTTTCTACAATTTATCCTTCAATAGTTTTGTTTCTACTGCAAATTAATTTTTAAAAAGGTTTTTCATTTTAAGTGTTTTCTTTATTTAGATTAAGACTATTATTTAAATGCACTGAGATATGTAGTTTGTAAAGCTTAAAAGTACCTTTGAATGGTATGTGTGTTTGTGCATGCATTTTGCACAGAGAGATCATTTTGGAGATTAGAGATATGTTTTATCCAATTTAGCTTTTATTCCTCAAGTGATTGAGCTTCCAATATTTCCCACGGGATGAGTTTCAAAATCCAATAGCTTTTTATTCTATAGAGGCTGTCAAATACTCAATAGCCTCCACATTCATTAAAATCCTTATTATATAATGTTGATCTGGTTTATATATAATTCCAATTGCACCTAGCATTTATATCTTTTATCATGTGTGTGTTTAAAACCCCTCCCCACAACTTGGGCTTTATTTAATAACTTTTAATCTATCTGTATATGCCCCAAATCCAATTCTTTCATTATTTGCCTGACTTTTTCAGTGTTCTCCGATTTACACCTTTCAAGACGTGTGGTGCCCACAATAAATAAAATATGACAAATACAATTTAACACAAAGAAAATGCAACATAGCCCAAAGATCACAATCTTTAGACTCAAGATAAACCATATTCTTAGTCTCAGTTCTTTTCCTCACTATCTATAGGTATATGAGAAAATAGCCTACTGTTTCTTCAAGGCCTTTATTTATTGATTCATCTCTAAAGTTGAAATAATACTTTTGACCTTACAGATTTGTTGTTGAGGTTAAATGAGATAACGTATGTCAAATGCTTAGCCTGCATGGAGAACATCTAAGAATAATGTGACAAAAATAGGCACTGAATAAATTAATGTTATTCTTAATTGGAGTCATCAATGACACAATAAAGACTTGTGATATCCATTTATTTACTTTAACTGATTTGACTCTCATAGCTTCATAAAGTTGAAATATTTTCAAAAGTCATTTCACTTCCCATCCTCTGCTGTCAGACAGAAATCTACCCAAACAATGTTAAACAAATAGAAGTCAATCCCCTCTTCTTAAAATAAAAGAGTTACTACAATAACCCATAATAAGCTGCTATATAGACCACAGTTATTGACTAAGACTAAAGCAACTGTAAAATATGAAGAGACCAGTAAAAACTTTTGTGGAAATGAATACCTATAAGCTGCCTGCATAAAAACATGAATTATCTAGACAGTTGAAGCCACCTAAAACAATAGCCTAAATTGAATATTCCTAGAGAAACAGACATGAGCTATTTGAATAGCTAAAACTTTTGTCGTGAATTGGCCTGAACTCCATTAAAAAAATTCAAAAATCAAAGACAGGGATGATGTGGCCTCTGGAGACTTTAACATTAACTAATTAAGCTGACTCTGAAACCAAGAAAAATTTTAAAAAAATAAAACATTTAACAAGGTGAGCTAGGGAAAATGGACCTTTCCTATAAAGTTTCCACCATCTTAAGTTCTATTGTCCTCATTTGGTCTCACCTTTTCAAACGGGCTTTTGCCACTTATATGTGAGGTAAGTATGGTAATATCTGGAAGTGTGACTATCATATTTGAGTGAAGCTACCTAACTAGTGGAAGATACAGATGTTCTAATTGGTTGTATAAACACTTCCTTCCTCATCTCTGGAGGATTGCTTTCTACACAGCAAACGCCCAATATATTTCCCAATTCTCTCTCTCTCTCTTTTTTTTTTTTTTTGAGACAGAGTCTCGCTCTGTTGCCCAGGCTGGAGTGCAATGGCACGATCTCGGCTCACAGCAACTTCCGCCTCCCGGGTTCAAGCAATTCTCCTGCCTCAGCCTCCCAAGTAGCTGGGATTATAGGTGCCCACCACTACACCCGGCTAATATTTTTCTATTTTTAGTAGAGACAGGGTTTCACCATGTTAGTCAGGCAGGTCTCGAACTCCTGACCTCAGGTGATCCGCCCGCCTCGGCCTCCCAAAGGGCTGGGATTACAGGCGTGAGCCACCACGCCCAGCCTATATTTCCCAATTCTTACTGACATCTTTCTTTAGATTTAGATTCAAAATACTACACTTCTAACTGAGAGACTACATAGATATGTGATAAACACTATTCAATGCAACTTTACCTGAATTATCTTATATAATTCTCCCTAAAACCACAAAATCTAGAAATTATTACTCCAGTTTTATAAAAAAGTACATTGAAGCTCAGAGAGGTTCAGTGATTTGCCAGAAATCATGCAGTTAGTAAGGAGAATACCAAAGTGGGTGTTTAATCTCAACTTATCTTGTTCAAAGTCTTAAGCTCATTCCACTATGACTCAGATGAGTCTCCTAGTATATCGGCAACAATGATAAGCTAGATCAGTATTAGGCCAATACGTTCACTATTGGGTCTTTCCTCTGGTTTGCTATACAGAAAGGCTCTATATACTTCCTATGACCAATTTTCTACAAAGCCTCAATACCACCACAGCATCACATTAAACTCCACTCGATCCCAGAATGCAGTTGTTGCCTTGGCAAATGGCATGGATTGTTGCCAATAATATTTTGCTAGCACAGATTGGGCTTTAAGCCCATATCTTCTTGTATGCCCAATAAGATGAAAAATAATCTGTGATCTTTCATACAACATTACTAACCTTGCTTATGCTTGAAAGTGGTCTGAGGCCAGTTCTTAGTCAGATTCCGTAGATTAAATCTAGAACATCAATAGTGAGGCCATCTTACATGTTGCACAGAGCACTGGGTCTAAGAAATCTGAGTTCTGTTTTGGCATCTGGTCCTAATAAGCGCTATGATCCTGAGAAAATCCATTTCTGGCCTCAGTTTTTAAAGATGTAACCTGAGGGGACAGCTTAAATTATCTTCTAGGATTAAAATGTAGTTTATATCGCATATATACATATGTACATATACAAGCTGCATATTTTGCATTTCAATAGTTATTTAAATGCCTGTTAGCTCAGCAGGTATTCACTTAGACTAGGGAATTGGCAGTTCTCTGATTTTACAAAGAGTCTTTTATCTCAGGATGCTGGAAGATCTTACATCATTCATTAATTAAATCTCACATCCTCCCCTCCTGAAAGGTGAGACCTCAAAGGCTGTTTTTCTCTATCATCACCCATATGGTGCCAGAATATGATATTAACTTTGAAACACAGCACACTGAGAATCTAGCCACTCACACAAAGAGTGTTCTCCCTGCAAGAGTGTAGAAAGGGAACATCCTGAGAATGAACTGCATGGGGAAACTAGAATGGAGAGGTGTGTAATTGTTATGATGGGAGTCTTTGTCAAATGAAGTTGGTGTTAAAATTGATTAAATCAAATACATCTTCCCCTTCCTCTCCTCCCAGTGGATTATGAGCATCAGGTAAAACATCCTATATTTATCTCTCTCAATCTGCATAAGTAGGTGATGCTCCTTTGAAGATGATTGTTATGATGATGACAGTTTTTAGCCTACCTGTATCTCTATTCTCTCTTCCTTTAACCACAGCCTGTTTGTGAAGTTAGAATTAGGTCAGTAAGTTTACCACTGACACTCATCCCCCCGAAATATTTATGTATGTATCTGGTTCAAAAAGTCATAGAGCTGAAGCATAGGTTGGCTTGTTTCTGAGAGGGGAGGAGGGAAAGGGAAACACAGGGAAAGGGAAAGAGGTGAAAAGTCTTAGGCTGATGGAGGGTATGCAGTGTCACATCCGAATGCATGATGACTCCCCTGCATTCAATTATTCCTTGTTGAGAGCAGAGGGTTATGGTTATGTAAACTGTAGAAACCATGGGTGCTAAAAAGAGGAGGAAAGATAACAAAAGTACAAGGAAAAAAAAGTACCATAGAAAATCACAGATTCCTAAACATGGTTCTTTGAAAATGAAGGAACCTGATTTTCTTATTAACATAGATTGTTAATTTTTAATATTTTTAAAAGGAGGTGCTATGAAGAGGAAAAAGATCTACCACTCAGAGTGGACATGATGCCTGCTAGGTGAAGAGAATGATGAGTCATATGTTAACCCACATAAACCAGAGAGCAATCTGCATGACAGTTTATGATTGCTGGTTTGCAGAAGAGAAAACTGAAGCTGACAGACATGATAACTAGTAAAAGTCAAAGGAAAGATTCAAATCCATGTCCTTCAGACTCCAGGGTCTCCACACTCCAGCCAGAAGCTTTTTCTCTTTCTGTTACCTCCTATCTATCTCATAGCTCATTGCTTTCTCATCTCCTTCAATCATCTAGTCTAAATAGAATTCTATTAGCTAGCAGAGAGTTACAGTTACGTAACCCTCAACTAAGCAATGTCAGAAAGCCTGTAATATTTACTGAATAATCTCCACATGAGAAGTACTGCATTCTTCCAGTGAGGCAAAATCCATTGAATTTTTATCCTCACATTTGCCATTGTTTCTGTAGCTTCCAGATTAATTGGCAAAGCAGAATGGACTATAGTTTGGACTTTATTCCAAGAAAACTACAAGATGCACTGTCATGTGCAGCCTTTTTATGAGAATCTTACTTCAAAGTAAAAAAAAAAAAATCTCTCCTAAGGGAAGGGAGGAAACAGGTAATAAACTTTCCATCTATTTCCATGCTGAAAGCTATTATGCTATACAAATAATCCTACATTCATCTGGTTTACAGAAAGCAGAATAAATGCAGCATAAGGACTAGCAGGCATATTTTCCTAAAGCGCTCCACCATGAATTATAAGCATCCACTAACAATGATCCCTTGCTTGTGGAAGAATGCTCACAAATCATCTTTTCAAATATAGGACGCTTGTCTGCATTCAAGAGGTTTATGTTTGTGATCACAGCTTTTCGTTTGGTCCAGTTTTTTCTTCTCTCATTTGGTAAATATGATAACATGTTGATAAAGTATGAAGTAAGTTCCACTGACAGTGTTTTCCCTTGGCATCCTGGGAAGTGATCTGTTTAGGTTGGCTGTACAAAATCTATTTACTCAGCAAACCTAATTTTAGCTAAGGACCAATGAATATGTATATTGAAATGACACCACTGTTTGCCAACAATGTCAGGCTATCTTGCCAGATCAGGATGCACAGACCGAACAAGATGTGAAATATTAAGGCACATCAGAAGTTTTAATTCTTTTACAAAGGGAGGGAAAAAGCAGTCACTTGGGAACTCAGAAAGTAATAACTCATTTACTTGAGAAATATTCAAAGCAAATTTAATCTTCTCTTTTTTCTACCTATTCAAGGAATAATTGTCTTCTTTATCTATTCCTCACCCTCTACACAGCCTTTTCCTCTGTAACTATTGCAATATACTATTTAAAACCCCACATTTTAAAGTCATTTAAACTTTTCATTTTCACTTATGGTTAATATATATATATATTTTTTTGAGATGGAGTCTCATTCCATTGCCCAGGCTGGAGTGCAGTAGCGTGATCTCAGCTCACTGCAACTTCCGCCTCCCGGGTTCAGGCAATTCTCCTGCCTCAGCCTCTCGAGTAGCTGGGATTACAGGTGCATACCACCAGGTCTGGCTAATTTTTGTATTTTTAGTAGAAACGGGGTTTTACCATGTTGGCCGGGCTGGTCTTGAACTCCTGACCTCAAATAATCCACCCACCTCAGCCTCCCAAAGGGCTGGGATTACAGGTGTGAGCCACCACACCTGGCCCTTATGGCTAATATTAATAGCAGCCCACATATTTGTCAGGATATCAAACTATTTTACAAAACACATACAAATGAAAAAAGGATAAAATAAAGCTGTCATTTCTTCTTCCAATATATTTTCCTTAGGAACTTTGAAACATTTTCCTAGATTTTGGGACCTAGATGCTCACTGATTTATTTTCTTTTTAAAGCCTGCAAGGGGGACTGGCTGAACCACATACTGTAGACCTGATATGCTCCAGATAGTTTTGCACCTTACACTTATAAGTTAATAAATGACTCTTCAAAGACTGTGGACCAGAAGAAAATTTTGAGAACACTCAGAGACTCAGAATCTGATCAGAGCTAATTTATGATATCTTTTATTATCGTGATGTTTGTGATATCAGTCATTTCTTTCCAATGATGAATCTCAGTGAATAACATACTTCTCCGTGAACATAAACTGCAGTACTAATTTCTCATCCACATCCTTGGCAGTCAGAGATTTGAAAAGGACTCTGAGATTCATAGCTCAGACTCCCCTTGGAAGTACTAAATATCAGTGATGGAAGAGAAGAAAGGACAGAGACATTCAGCAAATGCTCAATGTGGAGATATGTATGAGGTTGTTTTTGAAGTTCACAGATCAATAGAATTTAAATTTATTATTTCGTGTTAAAGAGAAGAAACATTTTCTACTTTCAGAAAAAGGGACAACAAAGTGATAGCTTTTGATATCCAAGTCACTGACTTAATTTTCTGAGCTTTCTCTTCAACTGCTGCTGCCTAGCAACTTGAAAATTGCCTTCTTATCCCACTAATTTGGGGTATAAGGGGTGTGTACCATGCACATGTTTACCCAAGAGGGAGAAGAAGAAAATTGGCAGGGGATGAGGAGGATTTGATGACCAATTAGCAGCAGGGTGTAGGCAGGCACTGAACATTGATCAGAACTCCCAGACTTCAGTTGGGGTGATTTTGTGGGTGATGATACACCTAACAGGGATTAGACACATAGGAGAAGAAACAATTTTTGTGAGAAGTAGGAACACAATGAATTTATTTTAAGCAGAATGAATTTGAGATATCTATGGAACATCTACCTACAGATTGCCAAAAATCCGATGGAAATAGGAATCTGGGGTAAGAGAAAGTGATAGCAATTACTGATAATCATTCGCATGTCATCAGCAGCATGTAGGTGGTAGATGAAGACAAAAGGATGAATCAAATATAGATGCTTAGAAAGAAATGCTCCTCTATTTAGTTTCTAGTCTTCTCTATTTAGTTTAACAATAGACAAATATGTCCATAATAATTAACCATATGCCATTTAAAGCAGCAGATGCCCCTTACTTTAAAAGGCCACTGTGTTGCACAGTGTTCATGCCATTTTATTGCAGTTATTTGCTTTCATGTTCATTTCTCATCAGACTGTAAGATTTGCAAGGGCTGGCACAGAATAGAGTTCCAGTAAATATTTGTTTAAATAACAAGGAATGAATGAGTACACGTGGAGTCAGAACTTCATGGCTGGGCGTAGTGGCACATGCTTGTAGTCCCAGCAACTCTGGAGGCTGAGGTGAGAGGATGTCTTGAGCCCAAAAGTTCAAGACCAAACTTGGCAACAACAGAGTGACAGTTTGTCTCTTAAATAAGAAAACAAAAAACAAACGAACTTCACGACTAGCATTCACGTTCAGATTTACAGTAACTCCCCAGGACAGAAATAAAGTAAAATGCAAACTCTAACAAATTTTATCAAAATTGGCTGTAAGATGATATGTCATTTTGAATATCACCGCACAACTATTTTTATTATAATAATCAATAGCTAATATAGTGTATAGATATCCATATATGTATATTTGTATACACATATAAGTACATTAAATTATCAACATATACATTTATAATAAACTAGTCAATATGCAATGAAAACTATATTTTAATTATATCTGCCTATTTAAAATTTATTAAATGCATATTTTGTGCCAGGTACTAAATCACTTTAAATTATCTCATTTAATTCTCCCAATAACCCTAAGATATTTTTATACCTATTTTAGAAGTGGTTTAGATAGACACAGACATTTTAGAATTAGACATATAAACAGGTTTATAGATGTTTAAAATGAACATTCAGTTATCTAAATATTGACACTGAAGACCCTATATAGTCTGGTTGTGTGTGTATACACACATACATATTTAATATTTACACAGTTTATATTTCACATAGAACATATTTGCATGCACAGATATAGCTAACTTTCTCCTTATTTAAACACTGAAAGTTTTGTATCTTTTTCTATTTCAATTTTTATTTTTAGTTCTGGGGTACATGTGCAAGATGTGCAGGTTTGTTACATAGGTAAACAAAAGTTGTGTATTTTTAATCAAGACACTAGTGGCTAAAAATGGAAACAGAAGAGTCAACTTTGTCTTTTAGCTAGGTAGTTTGTTTCTTTGAGACAGAGTCTCGCTCTGTCACCCAGGCTGGAGTGCAGTGGCATGATCTGGGCTCGCTGCAACCTCTGCCTCCTGGGTTCAAGAGATTCTCCTGCCTCAACCTCCCAAGTAGCCGAGATTACAGTTGCCTGCCACCACACCTAGCTATTTTTGTATTTTTAGTAAAGACGAGGTTTCGCCATGTTGGGCAGGCTGGTCTCGAACTCCTGACCTCAGGTGATCCACCCACTTTGGCCTCCCAAAGTGCTGGGATTACAGGCATGAGCCACCATGCCTGGCCAAAGTCAACATTTTTATATCTCTCTTCACATAATGCAAATAACAAAATGAAAGATCACTTCTACTCAATTTCACCCACCTCTGTAAGACAAGACAAAGTTTCCTGTTATGCATCAAGGCGTATGAAATAAGCATTTCCTACTGCCAATAAATTAAGAGACCTCAACTCGGACCATAGTCACTTGCTAGGGACAATAAGGGTAAACATCACTTGTTATAAAAAGTTGCTAATCAAATGCAATAGTAATGTTTAAAGTACTATACAAATAACATTTATTTTTTTATTATTGCTGTACATTTGTTCTTCTCATTGTTTTGGAAGTTGCTTATTCATCAACTGCAATTCTTCAGAATGTGGCCAAGAACAAGTAAAAGATTAAAAAGCCAAAACAGTGAAAATAAAATTTTCCAAGTTCATGAACTAAATATCATCCCTCCTCTCATGGGAGATTTTTTAGGTGCCATTTCTCAGAGACTGTTTACTCCTAATACAGACAGGATTCTCACTAGTTTCATCACATCTTGCCTGGACTACTGCAGACGCTTTCTGTTTTCTCTGCCTCGATTCTTTCCTACTTCCAAGCCATTCTTCACATGAAGATCTATCATATTATTCAGAAGCTTAAACTTTCCGTTGGCTTGCCATTTTCTATTGGATAAAGTCTGGAATATTTTACATGCTTTAGAAGCCCATGGTTGATTGAGCTCCTGGCTATCTTTCTAGCTTCCTCAACTAGATTTTTTGTTTTTCAGTCTTTAGCTACACTAGACTTTTAAAAATCCCTTTATTTTAATGCCTCCCACTCTGGAATCAGGACCTTTAAATATACTGTTGCATCGACTTGTAATGCTCATTCTCTTTGCCTTGCTGATGCCCACTCATTTTATAGATTTCCACTTAACAATCAATTCCTTATGAAGGCCTATCTTGTGTCCTACATGAGTGGGGTTTGTCCATAAGTATAGCAACTGCGATGGCTCAGTCACAGCATAGATCACATTTAAATTTATAGTTATTTAACTGGCATTATGTCATCAATGCTTACTTCTGCTAAATCAAAATCCTCAAGAAAAATCATTTTGTTTTGGTCGCTAATCTACCAAAACAATATATGCTCTCTTAGAGCATAGTATATAGCACATTCAATAAATACTGTTAATCAGCTGATCAAATACAGTTATTTAGAAAAGGCAAGATAGAGATCCTAGACGCAGAGAGCTGATATTTTGATGCAAATGATACAAAAACAGTATTTTTTTAAAAAAGACAAAAATAAAAGTCTTAGTAATCTGGATTAAGAAAAATCCTCATACTTCAATTGTTCTAAGAGCTTCCTATATCATAGTCTAGTACAAGAAACAATATTACAATGACAAGGACCTTGAGTGAACAATGACATGTTTAAAAGCATTTAGTATTCATTTTTAAATAAGCAAGAGTTTTAAAAATAATTGTAAAGTGATTTTCATTACTTTAATTGTTAAAACATAGGACTGGTATTTGAAGGGGTAATGTTCACTTGGTCTGAAGATTAATTTATATGTTATGCCTTATCTAACAATATTAGGTATATGAATAATAAGAGCTAACACTGTCTGCCTGTAAGTGGTAGACATCCTTCTAAGTACTTCACATTTATACTCTTATTTAAGCCTCACGAAAACTCTAGAAGATACACATTACTCACTACACTCATCTTATATATGAACAAAGTGAGGCACAGAGGGTTCTAAGGTACTTCCCCAAGGTCATACAGTTAACAAGTACAGGAGACACGATTCAAAATAAAGCTGTCTGATCTGGAAGCAGCTCTTTTTAACACCTGCTAAGCAGCAGTATTTAAGGGTCCCCAAAGAACATACTTTGTTTAACCAAAGTTTTTTTTGTCAGCTAGAATTAAAGTTCATCTAACAATGCAAGGCACAATGCTAATCATTTTGTAGAATTCTCTCATTTAGTCTTCAGAACAGTCTTGTAAGGTACGTATTATCACTATTTCCAATTTATAAGTAGTTACATTAAGACTTAAGAGGTTAAGTTCCCAAAGTCAAGTAGCAGAGTCAAAACCCCGAGCCCCAGATCCACTGACTGAGCTCTTAATTACAAGAGTTCACCTATCTAGTAAGAGAAGGATGTTTTACACAAGCTCTACCTCAGTGCTACTGACTATTTGGAATGGATAAAACTCAGACCAGGCTCATGTCTGCAATCCCAGCATTTTGGGAGGCAAAGGTAAGAAGATCACTGGAGCCTAGGAGTTCTAGAGCAGCCTGGGTGACATAGTGAGACCCCATCTCTACCAAAAAATTTTGAAAATTGGCCAGATATGTTGGCACACGCATGTGGTCCCAGCTAGTTAGGAGGCTGAGATGGGAGGATCACTTGAGCCCAGGAGGTCAAGGCTGCAGCGAGCCATGACTGTGCCACTGCACTCCAGCCTGGCCAACAGAGAGAAACCCTGTCTTAAAACAAACAAAAAACCTTACTTGTAGGGGCTACACTGTGCATTAGAGGGTGTTTAGCACATCCCTAGTTTCTATCCATAAGGTGCCAGTCTAAAATCAAAAGCCTAAAATCAAAACTTTTTTTAGACTTTGCCCAATGCCCTATAGGTAGAGACACAAGGTTTCTCCCCATTGAGAACCACCGTACTAAGTAGCAGATTTTTTCTTTGGATACTTTTGGATGAAAACTAAACACATTTCCACTGCTTTATCTCTGTTTCCAATTACCCTGATTGCAGCACTTTTGTTAAAATAGACTATCTTCATGCAAGTTAAAAAACAGAATTTAAGCAGCAATTTCCTTAGTTATAATTTGGTTTTGTGGATTATCCACACATTTAGAAATCATTTAACTATCTTGTGGCAGGACAATTCTTGGCTAACTTTGAAAGATCAGACAGATATAATAGTCCTTGTCTCACACAATTATGCAGATTAAACAAAAATATGCTTGTAAAACATTTAGCCCAATAGCTGGATTATAATGAATGCCCAATTAATGTTTTTGATTATATTATTAGCATAACTATTATTTGTGTAATTTTCACAGATTACTTTTCTAGTTTATCTTCAAATTTCCAGAAACTATCATACTTCCTCTCCAGATTTACTGAAAACATTTACTTAGAGGTCATAATATGTGTCTAAATGTCAAAGCAAACTTATTATATGGATATAACCTTAAAGTCGATGGGAGTTGAGAATCAAGGCACAGTGACAAATTGTTGAAAGAAAATATTTGACAGTAAAAGCTCAAATACCTAAGTGTATGGATAAGGCATATTCCAGTTATAAATAAGATACAAGTCGTGAAAAGTGTTTTCACTATAAGAAAAACTTTCAAAAAATGGTTCAGGTTTTATTCTTCCCTCCATACATATCAACATGACACTCATTAATTGTGTAGCTCTTTACCAATTATCTTTTAATACAAAAGTATTAACAGAAACATATGTACCAAACCCAAGAAGAAAATATCTAGAATCTCTAGTGTGATACAATCTTCAACCCAATTCCATGGATCTGTTCATTCTCTCAAACCTAAATATATTTGCATGGCCTTATTATTATTATTATTTGTATTCTTATTTTTACTCAATTGCCTATGCTTTGCTGCTTTATATGGCCAGTGCCAGAACTCTATCTCAATATTTGCCCAGGCCAGTAATAAATGCTGAGACATTATAAAGAACAAGTGCCCAACAGAGAAAGAGCTACCAGGGTGCGCAGCTTCATTCTGCCAGTCACGGCTCACAGTGGGCATGGAAAATCCTCTTCAGCCTATGAAAAAAAAAAACAGCTACCACAAGGCCACTGCTCCAGGAAAAAAGCTCTAAGACCCAGATTTGGTTTCTAAACATATTTTGACCTCTAATATTTAAGAAAACAAAGCAAACAGCATGAACACAAAAGACAGACGTTTTTAAGTCTCAAGTCAATTATTTCAGATGAAAAAGGAACTCTCTAAAGAGAACAGCAGCTGCTGGCTTAAGGAGCTATAGGTCCTATCAAATTGTAATATAGCCCTAACTACTCCTCTGTAATTATTATTTTCCTCATATGACTGCATAGTTCCCATGGAAGCAAATAACTTTTAAAGATTCAATCTTTGTTCTTCCAAGAGCTTATGATATATCAGTAGAACTAACTGGTATCTGTTAATTCTTTATTTCATGGGCATAGAGAAACCTATACATTCCAGCACCCTCCTCACCACCACCTTCACAGTTAGGTGGGGCCAGATGACTTGTTTTGACAAAAGGATTATGAACAGAATATAGTGTGTCGCTTCTAGGGAAAGGCAGAAAAAAGGTCCCTGAGGCACCCCCCTCCCCCAGCTCTCTTTTTCCCTGTAATAGCAATATGGAAGCCACATGTTGGAATGGCAAAGCCATTAACATAGAAGCAGATTAGCCCCTTGACACAGGACTTGAGAGGGAGCTGCCCTGGAGAACAGCAAGGCCCACAGTAGACTCTGCATACACAGAAAAATAAATGTTTGTCGTGTTAATCCACCAAGACTTCAAGGTTTATATATTATCACAGCGGAGTTCAGACTGTCCTGACAAATGTGTCTCCTAACACAGATTCTAGTATGAAGTAAGTGCTTAATATGTAGCTCTTTAAAAACAAATGTGCAGAGCTGAGAACACCATTTACTAGTAACACAGAAGTTGAGATATGGATTACAAAGAAAAAAACACAGTCATCTTGATTTATATTAAAAAGCAATTTCTGCATATTAAGCATGAGCAGACTATATATCAACCTACTAAATAGCTCAGGGTGTACTCATCACAAGTCCATATTGCTGACTAAGGCACAGACAGGTCATAGTCACATAAAAATATTATTGCCACCATAAAGCAGCCCATATATGTTAGGTCCAAAGTGAATGAAAAGTGCAATCTAGTTGGAAGGGAGTGGATCTGTAACTTTTACCCAATTCTCATCTTTCTTCTGCCTTTTACCTAAATTGCTTATCTTGGCATAGTATAAGCTACTTTGTGAAAAAGAGAGGTCAGCACTTTCACTGCAGTTATCAGCCTGGTGGTACAGAGCATTAGAGGTCCAGAGTCTTGCCTCAGCTCTGCTGGGCAGTGCCTGCATGACTTGGACCTCTGATTAGAATCTTTCTTACTCTCTATTTGTCCACTGATAAAGTGAACCCAATGACAACCCTAAGACAAGGTCGCGGTATGGATTAAGTAGCATTGTGTATATAAAGAATCTGGCAAAGTGTTTGGTATACGTTGGCACCCAATAAATGTTTGTTTAATTTCCTCATTCCCTTTCTCTTATTCTGCCACCCTTCATTCTATCTTCCTCCATATTTCCTTTCAATATCTTGTTTAGTTGTTTACTTGTTTTTAAACTAAAAAATGAAGATAAATGCTAGATAATCGTGAAAACCCTGATAAGTATGAAATATCTATGCCCTTGAAGTTTGAGTATTGCCTGGAATTTGGATTTGGCAGTCTGATTTGACAAAAATCAAAATAATATCACGATATCCTATACCACCGAAGTTGGAGCATGAGAAGGAACGGAGAGAAGTGAAAGAAGGATAAGCAACAGCACAAATGAGAAGGGCTGCAAAGTGATCTGCAAACAGCCACCGCTGAAAAGAGTTTACAAAAAATTCAGAGTCACATAGACTTAAATTAACACTGTGCACTTCCTGGATTTGAATTAATTCGGATATATTGACAACAAACTCAGCACAAATGGTACACTGCTTTGTTCAGTGGAACTCAAAGGGATCCAAAATTTGTACGGCAGCACAGGTTTCACGCTATTGGTGTTCTTAAGAGAATATCTTCCAAGGGTAGGCAACAAAAGAGATGGGAGTGATATCTGCAAATCACTTCTTGTCTCTTTAAGTCCATCTCAGCCAACACAATCAATATCCAGTAAAAACAAATACCCCACACTGTAATTCCTCAACAGAGCCCTGCTCTAGCCACTGTTTCCTGACATGTTCTTAAATATCTGTAAGTTTTGAATGTATTTCAGTTTCTGACTTTGGCCCCAAACCTGCTTTTCAATTGGATAATGGCTAATGTTCTTTGGCTATCCTCATTTCTGTCTACATTTGATCCTCAGGTTGCTTTGACTTTGGTAATACCAGATAATACCACAGCCCCGTTCTGTTTAGGCAACAGCACCATCCAGGACAATCAGAATTCAGAGGAGCCTAGCAGAATCATTTTTTAAAAAATGGCTAAGCACAGCATATCAAAGGAAAGATATAAAACATTTCTTCTTTATGACCAGCCAATACTCCAGTGTAACTTTCATGGAAAACACTTATTTGAAAGAAAATTGTAAATTCACCTAAGTTAGAGATAAGAAAATTTTTATCACATGAGTTTAAGAGTTGCAAAGAAGGAACATCTAATGTATAAAAGAGTTAATATAGAAATAGATTTTAAAGAGGTTTCAGAATCATTTTTCTTCTCCCCTATCTTATTCATATACCTGCTGAAAGGCTGTATTTTATTTGCTAAGGAGGTATGTTTATATAAAAGGTGATTTTCCCTCCTGCACAGTCCAGAGAACTAGGCCCAGTAGAAAAATAAATCAACAGTTGATAAATGCAGAAAAACACTGCCTTAAAATGTTATCCATTATCGGTAACAGTCCCATACAAGACCTAGGGTATAAGCTGAATTCCAAAGAACGACATTTAAATTTCAACATGGTACTACTTAAATTACTCTAACCTATGTCTCTGCTTTTGCTCTCTGTTTACAAACCTACAACATGACAAAGACTTGGTCTCAGTATTTGCTGTCTCTATGTGCAAATAACCATGTTCTAAATCCTTACTCAAAGTCTTCTTCCTTTACAATGTCTTCCTAACTCCCCAGCAGAACTGATTTCAATTTCTTTCAGCTCTCTAAGCATATTTTCCCCCAAATCTAGTGTTTTTAAGCTCAAACTGCCTTATATTTGGTTATTTTTCATGTCCGTATCCTCTATAGGTAAACTGACAGTACTTGGAACCTATCTTCTTTTTTGATCCTCATGTCCCTCAGAGTGCCTCGTCCACTACTTTGTAACCTACTAACCAGTGTATGTTTGTTAAATTGAACTTAAAATATGAAAAGAGGGGGAAATCTCACATGGCTTCTTCCTGTTCATACTTGTATTAGGAAACTGAAGGGTCCAAGCTAATGTAAATGTGCAATATGTGAAGGAAAAAGATAGTTAAGACAACCAATCACATATCCAAGATTCTTAATGCAGCATTCAGAGACCTCTATTAGATAAGGCCTTGTAAAGAGACAAAAACCAACTCTTCTCCCTTAGTAATGGATAGACTGTCTCTCTAGATCCTGTTTATTCCTAATTCTGTTAAATTTAAACTCCTACCTTGCTGCTATCAGCCAGAAACCCCAGCCAAACAGTAAAAGCCGAATGTTTTCTCAACACTTAATAATAAACCCAGAAAGGGTAGAAAGCTTTTTTATGGTATAGCAAGATGGGTGTTAGCCAGGCTGGATGATACTGCCTTGGCATATAAACCCCAACAAATGTTTCTTCTTGAAAAGATACTCAGTTGACCCTTAATCTGAAGACATAAAACCTTCCTACACAAAGTGTTAAAGACCAGCAGCATCAGCATCACGTGCGAGCTTTTAAGAAATGCAGAATCTCAGAACGCACCCCCAGACAACCTGAATCGGAACTGGCATTTTAACATTATCTCCAAGTGACTCATACATAGGTAACATTTTTAAGAAGCGTGGATACTGGATATTCTGGCATCAATATTTCATTTGCTTCCTGGCAGTCTCTTTGCTCTAAACCATAACTTTATTAAAAAAAACTATTTGCTTTTCGCACCCTGTCCTCTAACATTCCATGTCTTTCCAGGCATCCATTTGTTTTAAAATGTAACACAAAAAGAAAAAAGATTTCTCCAGTGTATAGAATGTATACCTTTCATTCACATTATATCATTAGATCCTTATGGTATTCCTGTGAATATCATCATGTATAACTTGTTACATGTCACTTATGTAAATAAATATCTGAGAACCTCCATGTCTAATGGTTTGAAGACGCAGACAGCTTCCGTCTATAGTCAACCAACACTCCAACCTCAGGATTAGAGAATTCTGATTGCATTATCCATGAAGCCCAGAACTTAAAAGCCCAGTCCTATCTTACTCTTGAATCTTTTGCCTTTTCAACTACCATAACCCAGTTTCTCCCACACAGAGACACTAAACATGCACACTCTTGATGAAAGCTTTTTTAGTGGCCATTACATAATGGATTTGCTGTCAGTTTGTCTAAAATGTGCCTGCTGAAGAAATGAAAAAGAAAAACCTAATCTATGCTTATAAGTGATGGAGTTTTCAACTAACTAAAACCTATATGGGCATTTCTGTCCTCTACAGTATGACTTTTTAATTGGCCTTAGTCATTTATGTGATCTGAACATTTTTAGTAATGAGTAACACAATATAGGTAATAATATTAAATATATATTATAGTTTCATTAAGAAAGCATTTATAGTGTTAGGATGTTTATAGTTTTAGAATGTAATATAGGAAATTGTCAACCATTTTCAAAACCAGAGCACATTTTCAAAGTGTTTAGCCTAATTCTAGGCCACATTCTAAAGTAAATATCTCTACACAATGCAAAATATTAACTAAAACTTTAGGCTTCATCAAAATGTCTCAACGCTGTTGTTTAGGCATAAAAATATGTTACTTTTATAAAAGCCTTTTGGTTATGAAATAATGGACAGGTGTCTAAAATTTAAAAATCGTCTGGGTAACTTAATTCTAGTACTTAGGGAGGCTGAGGGGGAAGAATTGCTTGAAGCCTGGAGTTCTAATTGCTTGAGGCAGGAGTGCCTGCAAAACATAGCAAGAGCCCTGTCTCTATGAAAAAATAAAAAGTTAGCCAGGCATGGTAGTGCACACCCGTGGTGCTAGCTACTCGGGAGGCTGAGATGGGAGGACTGCTTGAACCCAGGAGCTGGAGACTGCAGTGAGCTATAATGGCACCACTGCACTTCAGCCTTGGCAACACAACAAAACCCTGTCTCAGAGAAATGAATAAATAAATAAATAAATAACAGAAGTAGAGTATTAGAACAAAAAAACCTTTAAAAGATTATCTAAGCCTATCCCTCATTCCATTTTTTATATTTGGAAGGAAAAGCCCAGAAGCCACACAACTTACCAGAAGTTCCACTGTTGTCTGTCACTGTCTAGCTGAGTAACTCTGGCCAGTCCCTTCTTTCTCACTCTCAGTTTCTTGCTCTGCAAAATGAGGTGATTGAAACTAGATGATGTAAGAGTCCCATACAGCCTGAAAATGCCATTTTTCTGCAAGGCTAGAAACCACATCTGAAAACATTTCCTCTCCAAAAGCAACACACAAGAAGATGAAAAGATTTTTAAATGGCACTTGGCACTATTGATGTTCCAACTCATTGATACTATAATCTCAGCTTGATACTTTAGAACCACATAGGTTGCTAGTATCCACCACAGACAAGCAAAGCAGAAGAGAAAGGCTGTTGGCATGCTCTTTGCCTGAGAAGTGTTGCAACTGAAAATCAGACCAGAGAGAGAGTAAATCATCTCCTCCCCCTTCTGAGGATCTGGTGACTCCTTCTGTCTGGGCCCTGCTTCAGGAATTTCTCCTAGAGAAATTTTTCACTGGGGAGCTGGGAGTCCAGCCCTTGACTGGACCCCAGACAAGGATGCATTTCCTCCTGGAAGGCTCCTTGCCTGGACAAGTCCTTCAAAATCAACCTAAAAAGGAACTCCAGTCTCCAGCGAGCTGTACATTTTAGCATCTTTTAATCAGCCGTCTGGACTTCTCTGGTGTTTTTGGAAATGTTTTTTTTCTTATTGCATTACAATTTTATTATGTTAATACACAAAGAGTTGGTATGCATAATTTTAAAAGGCAAATTCAGCCGTTGAATGAAGAGTGTGTGATGATCACGGCTCATGCTTTAACTACATTTACTTATCTTCCTTTCTTCATTCTTGTATGGGACAGTATCTTTGAAATGGCTTTTGTTTATTTTTTAAATGAGTTTTATGTTTTTCCCCTTTTCTCCTTTTCATTATTACTGCTTTCTAGCAGAAAATCAGAAAGTCGGGGAATGGTTTAAGTTTATAAAATCTGAGAGATCATCTGGACTTAAACCCAATTTCATTAAATGGTTTAGGAGATGTAAATGTAATAACAAGGCAGTATCCAGATATCATGTATGTAAAAGTGGGTACTGCCAAAGTCCCTAGTAATTAAGCCAATCATTAAATCAGAGGTTAATGGATTCGGTTCATTTTTATGACATACACAAGTGAACCTGAAACACTGGGTCCTATTAGCATTTAATATATAAAGAAAGCTAGTGTCTGTACCTAAATAATTGCAAACACAATGTGGTCAACACAGAGGATACAAATTCTAGAAAAAAGTGTATCATCCAAAAAAAAACAATTCTGTTATCAGTAGCATCATTATTATTGTCATCTATTATGACAAGCTTGAACAACCCAAGTGTTCATCAAAGAAGCAATTCAATAGAATGTTTTCGGCATGCTCTTAACTAAAAAGAGAATATGGAATGAGAAGAGTAAAAATAAGATTTTTTATTCCAGTCTGAAAAAAAATATTCTTTGAAGCTCCTCATGGTATGCATGACAAATAAACATACATTTCTTGCTTTCTGCAACCAAATAACTGTATGTGCCTTTGCAATTAATTAATGTTGTCTCCAATATTTCTAGAAAATTAATGTCAAATTCATTTGAATGTGGCTTCTGGAATAACAGGACCTCTGGTCCATTTCCTGTATGGTAATGTAATGACAGCAAGATACCCTTTTAAGTTTTATGTGTTCAAATTGGTTTAAAAAGGTAAATTTCTACACTATAATTAATGTATACCAACAATTTTCAAGCAATTTTAGCAGTGGAGCTCTTCTTTGAAAGAACATCTTGGGCCCAACATAAGCTAAGGCGCTTTAAATGTCTATCACTGGCTAAGAATATACTTTATATTTTGTGGAACTCACCAAGTACCTTCCTAGAATTTGAAAGGTAGGTAGAAAACTATTCTTCAAATTCATACATCTCATATTATTGATGAGAAAACTGAGGCTACAAAAGAAGAAGTGATATGAGTATGTCTCACAACTAGTTAGTGACAAAAGTTAGAATTCGTGACTCATTCATTTATTCAACTGATGTTTATTGAGAACCCTCCATTTACTCATTTTGTGCTAGGTTTCCTATGTATATCACTTTTTTAATTGATCACTTAAATTTTATATAATTTTGTTATTATTTTATTTAATCATTTCCTAGACATACGGAAAAAACTTATATCTTTTTTTTTTTTTTTTTTTTGAGACAGAGTCTCACTCTGTCTCCCAGGCTGAAGTGCAATGGCGTGAACTTGGCTTGCTACATCCTCTTCCTCTCAGCTTCAAGTGATTCTCCTGCCTCAGCTCTTGAGTAGCTGGGATTATAGGCTCCTGCCACCACACCTGGGTATTTTTTTTTTTTTTTTTGGATTTTTGGTAGAGACGGAGTTTCACCATGTTGGCCAGGCTGGTTTTGAACTCCTGACTTCAAGTGATCCACCTGCCTCAGCCTCCCAAAGTGCTAGGATTACAGGCATGAGCCACAGCTCCCAGCCAAAACTTATATCTATTAACCAATCATCACATCTGTGTTCATCATGTCTCATGTGTAAAGAACTAAGAATGTGTTAGAAAAAGGCAAGCGAACCTAGAAGTTTATAGTCTGTTTAAGTAGTGGAGATGCACAAACAAGAAATTTGCTTTAAAGAGCTAGGATGACATTTAAGTGCTGAGTATAATACAGCAATGAATATGTTGGCCTCAGAAACTTATACCCCAAAATTTGGCACTTTGACATGCTGAACTGAAGAAGAAGCCTCAAGATCTCTCTGAGAACCCCCACTTCAGCCCCCCATCTGAGCTCTCAGTCTCTCAATCCTCTGTGTCCTCTCTCTCCCAAAGCACAGGATAAAGTTGTTCTCTGAAGTTTCCTTATCTAAAGCCCAGATCCACCAAATAAGGTCCCTTTCCTGAATTTTCATTAACTGAACTCCTATGGTAGGAAGAAGGGCAAGTCTGTCAATACACCTGGATAGACTTTCGCCACAAACCATTGTCTGCTCTGCAGCCCAAGAGACTTTGTTCCAGGCCATTTTATGTTCTTCAAGCCCACTAAATTTTCCTAATAATCATTTACTCCCTTCAAAGTCATCCACACTTCCTTATGTCCCTTTACGTGGTAGGGTAATTGCTGTGGTTCTCTCCCATGCATGTTAATAAACTCGTATGCCTTCTCACTTATTAACCTGTGTTTTTTGAGTTGATTTTCAGCAGTGGGCTAAGGGGAAGGTTTTTTTTTTGGCCCTGAAGTACACGTTATGTAAAGAGAGATTCTTAAAAAGAGAGAGCTCATTGAGACTGACTTTAAGTATTTGAATAAGCTTCAAGGAACAGATAAAATTTGACTTTAAAGTATTTATTATTACCACTTATATTGTACTAAAGACAGTGGCATATTCCATGGCATCTGGATTGCTATAACTGTATAAATAGACTTTTTCCAATTAATAGCTCATAAAAAACTAGGACAAAATTGCATTATTAACATCAATAGGCTCCTAAAGAATTATTCAGCAGTTGAGCAGTTCATTTTTCAGCTACTTTGTTTGTGACCTCTGTTGTAAAAATCCTGATATTTTTCATCCATGAATGAACCCAGCAAGCATTTCAAAATTGACCGGATCTTCATCAGTCTTGGCCATTTCCTGAGACCAACTAGGAATTGTGTTCAAATTCATCTCTTATACAATTTCCTGACTTAATTCTCACCCAAGTCAAAGTTACCTTTCCTTCCTCTAAAGAATGTAACTCTGTACATTTTATTTAAAAACTCTCTTAGATTTTACTCTATTATTTGCATATGTTACTATATTATTTATAAATAAATGCCATTTTTCTCAGCTATGTTAGAAGCCTATGACAATAAAAACCATGGCTTATACTTAAATACAGTGTTTTGCCAAAGAGGCACTTAGTAAACAGTCACTGTTGTAATTTGCTTTTAATGGAAAAGCCCACACATGTTACAGAATCTGTACTAGTCAATGAGTAGGTGCTGACAGCCTACAACTTGTGGCTTTTGATGATTTATTGATACGATCCTCAAATCCTAGGACCTTACCTGTGATGCATTCTAATGGTTTTCTAGTCTGTATTATTCCATTTCAATCTAATTCATTAAACAAAATTATAGGTTCACTCAATGATAAAATTGATTTTATCATCATCTCTGGCGGCATGAATTCAATCAAATTATTAATCTATTCTAAGGATTATTTTATTTACTTGTAGAATATAGATAACAATATTATCTCTTTCATAGGATTGCTTTTAGTATTAAATAAAATGCTACCACTAGCATTGTGCTTGGGGCTTAGTGTTCAATAAAGGCATACTATTTTTATAGATATTATTATTTTAATTATTTCCACCATTATATTAGTATTATAAATTCAACTTTAGGTATTTGAGAACTGTTAATTTATGTTAAAATTCTTAGATACATGATACATATTGTTAAAGTCCTAACTTTTTTTTTTTTTTTTTGAGATGGAGTTTTTGCTCTTGTTGCCCAGGCTGGAGTGCAGTGGTGTAATCTCAGCTCACTGCAACCTCTGCCTCCTGGGTTCAAGTGATTTTCCTGCCTCAGCCTCCCAAGTAGCTGGGACTACAGGTGTCCGCCACCACACCTGGCTAATTTTTATATTTTTAGTAGAGACAGGGTTTCACCATGTTGGCCAGGCTGGTCTTGAACTCCTGAAATCAGGTGATACACCTGCCTCAGCCTCCAAAAGTGCTGCGATTACAGGCATAAGCCACCATGCCCAGCCCTAAAGTCCTAACTTTTTATCAAGTGTTATAGGAAAAGAAAAAAGACAATAAGTAGAATTGGTCCATACTCCTTCTAGACATCAAATACTCAACGTTATTTTGTTTTTGGTTCACTCTGCAGACTTTTGATTTAGTACTTCATCTCTGTAGTGATTAAGGACTGTGGAAAATGATAACATGGCATTTCATTTAGATGCTTCTTTGAGGTGACATACATGATAGATTCATTCTTCTAACTTAACTGTGATGAAATTCATCTCATCTTCTATTAGCGGCAGAAATATGAACAGAAGCATGTGGTCTCCATCGTCTCCAATATTTGTACCAGAGAAGAAGATATTAACTAAAAGAAAACTGAAATATATCTTCTGTTTTTTTTAATAATTCTGGTTTGAGCCCTCAAATCATTCTATACCCATGAGGTTATAGGTAAAAGCATATTTTTTTCATCTTTCTTAGATTATAAAAGTAGGTAGTTCCTTTATAATACAATTCACTACTGATTTAACTTTAATCTAAAAAATAAGCATTAGAAATAAAAAGTATATGTGTCAGATATATGTTCATATTTCTTCTAGTATTGATGCTCATAGGAAGAAAAAATAATTTGTTTACTATTTTTGCCATGACTTATCAGAAATCTAAGCACGTTCAAACACACCAACAAAGAGAAATAATACCAACTGCTCAGTGGGAGATAAAGTGAGGCTGTTTCCCCCAGGTGGAGTTTATGGTTGCCTTTCAATCACTGAAGAGACTGAATATTTCCTCTATCTAAACTAATCTTGCTTGCTTTCAATCTTACCCACTCAGAGCCTGTAACTCCTTCCTTTTCTCTCTTTTTTTTTTTTTAACTAATTTAAATATGGACCTTTTTAAATCACCATGTCTACTATCGGCATCAACATTTCAAAAGACTTCTCCAGCGCACCCACTGAGTGTACCACACTTGTTTCATTTTGTTAATTGAATGGTTCTTAAACAACCTCATTATCTGCCCACAGCACTTAGCATTTTCCTATTATAAAGCTATCCTTTGCAATGTCTTCTCTGCCTACCAGGAAGGCTAGAATCTTGCTTTTAGTGTCTCCCAACACAGGACTGACCATGGGTCTTTAAACAAACCCCCATGTTTTCAGATCGCAATGGGTTAAGTGAAAAGAACCCATGTTGAGAACTTATTCAAGCCAAGCTATAAAAGGTGTACAATCCTATGACGAGATAACATTATACCCATTTCAAAAAGAAGAAAATGGAAGCAAAATGAGATTCTATCACTTATCAAAAATCACACAGAGAAAGTTTTTGGGGTGGGATTCCCAGAGCCTACACTCCAGGTCATTGCACTGTCAATACTGAACAATCATTGGGTTACTCTCTGCTTTTTGTGTGTGCGTTTTTTGTTGGTTTGTTTTTCTGTCTCTGAGGTCTTTGAAGGTCTTGATATTCTCCGTTGTCCAGATAGAGAGGTCATGTCACCTTCCAGATATTTCTAGCTGTTTAAAGCCCTTTCCCTGAATTCTAGTTCTAGAAAAGTTTGGAAGAATTAGCAGTCATTTGTACATATACTGACTGCATATCTACAAATGACTGTAAGACAACTGAAACTAGGGAGTCTGGAAAGCTTCCTCTCCTTAGCAGAAAATGATGTTATGTCTCTTCTCTAAGGAGGTTTTATATATGCAGCTTAAAATCCACATAAAGAAAAATTCCCATATAGAGTGATGTTAACCTCATTTGTATGTAATCGTGAATCGAGGTATACCACTATAGTAACTGCACACAGTAAAAGCCTTGTGACATGATTACTTTTCTACACTTTCTTATCTTTGCTCCCCTACCTAGGATGCCTCTCTGCCTTTTCATCCTTCCCTGGCTAAAGCAGGCTCATTCTTCTGGGTCAAGTTCCAATGTCATTTCTTCTATAAAGCTTTTTTCAACACCTCTTCACCCTCAGTTCTCTCTCCTTTGAGTTTTCCCAGCACTTTATTCATTCATGTTCCTAAGATAGTACTTATAACAGTGCATTACATATTTCTCACTCTATAGGCTAGATTTTTCAACCTCAGCACTGTTGACTTTTTGGGCTAATTTATTTTTGTAATGCTGCCTTGTGTGTTGTAGAATGTTTGGTAGCATCCATGGTCTCCCTCCACTGGGTAACAGTAGCATCAGGGTAGGTGCAGTGGCTCATGCCTGTAATCCCAGTGCTTTAGGAGGCCAAGGAGGAAGTATCGTTTGAGGCCAAAAGTTTGAGATCATCCCGGGTAACATAGGAAGACCACAGGCATGGTGGTATGACCCCGTAGTCCCAGCAACTTGGGATTCTGAAGCAGGAGGATCACCTGAGCCCAGGAGTTTGAGGCTGCAGTGAGCTAGGATCTTGCACTTACACTGGTCTGGGTGACAGAGTAAGACCCTGTCTTGAAAAATGAAAAAAGAGTAGCACCTCCACTTCAATTGTGAGAATGAAAAATATTTGAGGTAATAGATTCCCAGTTACTCTTATTTGCTCATTACATATTTTACGCATATATCAAATATCACTTGTCCCTCATAAATATGTACAATTATTACATATCAATAAAAAATATGTATTTAGACATTGTCCTCTGAGGAGTAGGTAAAACTGTCCCTAGTTGAAGACCACTGCTTGAGATCAGAGACTACAACGGCAGTGACTGCTTTTTTTCATCCTAAGAGTACCTGATACCCAAGAGTATCAGGCCAGAGCTTGCTGTTATCAGAGTAACAGCAAGCAATTATAATCTCTTGGTTGGAGGCTAGGCGTGGTGGCTCACGCCTGTCATCTCAGCACTTTGGGAGGCGGAGGCCAGTGGATAACTTGAGGTCAGGAGTTCAATACCAGACTGGCCAACATGGTGAAACCCCATCTCTACTAAAAAATACAAAAATTAGCCGGGTGTGGTGGTGGGAGCCTGTAATCCCAGCTACTTGGGAGGCTGAGGCAGGAGAATCTCTTGAACCTGAGAGGCGGAGGTTGCAGTGAGCCGAGATCGCACTACTGCACTCCAGCCTGGCCAGAGAGTGAGACTCCATCTCAAAAAAATAAAAAATAAATAATAATCTCTTGGCTGGAGTTAAATTAGTCTCATTTCCCAATAATAACATACAGAATTATAAAATTCACTGAATTCATACTTCATCCAAATGTGAAACAAAGTGACTATTAAATTAAAGATGGATTCAAAGGTAATGAGATCAAAAATATTTGGATATCAGAAAAAGAAAATTGTATTTTTTGTATATTTAATAAATATTATATATACTACATATAATCATATATGTATATATATGAAATATATTGTATATATGTATGCGTATACACATGCCCACACGAAAAGAATAACCTTTACTGGGAAACTGCATTCAGAAAACTGGATAAAAGTTTTCTGATATCTCTGAATACATCATACTTAATACTTAAGGTCTCTGTTCCCTAAAAAAGGCCAGGACTCTCTCGCTTTTTTTTCCTTCAAAGATCCATTCATAAAAAAAGTGATGCTTATTTTACAATTTCAAAATCAGAGGGAGTTGATAAAATAAAGAGGCACAGACAGTATGATACTGCCTTTTGTTCTGATAAGATATTCATCGCTACCCAATTTAGTGCAGAATAAAGTATAAAAGACAATAAAATTTCAGGACCCTCTAAATTTATTGCGCCAAGGGGCAAGTTAAGCCCTGGAGACTGTCGCATTGCATGTTTGCAACTTCTGCTTCTTAGATTATAGGTTAACTCTTTTCTTCATTGTTCTTGTTCTGTAAATGACTAGGAGAGATCAGAGACCAGACCTCTCCCAATTCTAATCACTGGATCCTTGTTATCGATGAACTACCTTCTTTATTATCTTGTCCCTAACTCAGACCACATGGCACAAAAGACCCCATGACTGTTACATCTTCAGTGTGGAGTATCAAATATAACTTTTGCAAAAGAAAAAGAACACCTTGACTAATCTGACCCTTGTAACTATGCATTAAGCTTTACATAGAAAGATACCGAAATTCTGTTAAGCTTCCCTATGTAATCTTTGTCTATAGATATGATCCCAAATTTCTATACTTCAGAACACTGACTTCTATTCCTTGGAATCTGTGCTTACCGGGCAGCAGTCCTCAAACTTTCTGCTTGAATAAACTCTCTTTAAATTTAATGATAAGCCTGGCATGGTGGCTCATGCCTGTAACCCCAGCACTTTGGGAGGTCAAGTAGGGTGGGTCACTTGAAGTTAGGAGTTTGAGACCAGCCTAACCAACATGGTGAAAACCTGCCTCTACTAAAGATACAAAAATTAGCCAGGCATGGTGGCGGGCGCCTGTAACCCAACTACTCGGGAAGCTGAGGCAGGAGAATCGCTTGAACCCAGGGGAAAGAGGTTGCAGTGAGCCGAGATTGCGCCACTGTACTCCAGCCTGGGTGACAGAGTGAGATTCTGTCTCAAAATTATAATAATAATAATAAAAATTCTGACCCTTTCAATTATTTTAACTTAACAAAAGTCATCTGACATTCCTTATTTCTGTAGACTAGCTAACCACATATTTGGACTGAAGACCAGAACCACTGTGATCTTCATATGAACTTGTGATGACAGATCTTTTCTCGCCTCAGTAGTGAAATGTGCCTGCCTACATTTATCTATTTCCTGAGCTGTGGTTTTAATTAATCAAAGTTATAAAAATGAGATAGAATTGTCTTTTCATGTTTAGGTAGTTTTAAATCCGTGAAAATCTGCTATTCTCACTGGGATGCTCCAAGCAGCAGTAGTACATTTTGCAAGAAACAAATGCATAAACAAGACCAGACCTTCCTAAGCAGTCAGAAAGGAGGTCACTGAGAACCAATGTACATAATCTTTTACCCATTGCAAAGGACCATAATTTTAGTGGTCACTTGCTATTGGTTGCCTCTTTTTAATTTTAGATACATTAATTATGCTTCTCATTATAATACTATGAAATATAGATTATTCTTGCTTCTGTAAAAAGGAGGTAATTAAATATTAGGACAATGAATATATTGTGTGATGTTATTTAACTGCTCAGTGGGTGAGGCAAAATTCACCCATTGATACAAACTGAAGGTACAAGGAGCACCTTCGAGTACACAGAAGTTCCTTTTGTGCCCACTCCTCCTCTAAATAGCTACATGTACAGTCAAACCTACAAACAGATATTTCCAAGCCTCCACATTTCCTGACTCTTCCCCCAGCCTCATGCCCCAAAGCCTGGCTCGAAGGAAAATAAGAATAACTAAAATGCAAAGCACTATGTATTAGTAGAACGGTTCAATTCAAAGGTCAGGGGGCCTGCATATCTGAGATAAGAAACCAAGGAAGAAAGAGCACCTTCACCTAAACTAGCACCTTCACCTAGAAGTAAAGGATCTTCTCTCTGATTACAGCTGAAAGAAACACCTTGGCTCTAATAAGTTACTTTGATTTAAAAGAGTTTATGCCATGCTTTACACAAATTTCAGTTCTTAGGATGCATTGACAAGTCATTTCCTGGGATTCTCACTGCAGCATTTTGTGTTGTGACACAGCAAAGAACACATGTTCATTAGGCTGCTACTTTCTGGGTGCACCTTGGACTGCCTTCTGTGGAGTTCAGTGTTAGGAGGTTTGTTTGGCATCTGGACACAGCTTCTAACCAGCTGCATGCATTTGGATTCTCTGAGTGTCAATGAATTATTTAAACTTATATTCTATGCATTTACCTATTTATTCATATCTATCCTATTTCATGGAATCAGATGGCTTTGATGACATGATTCAGGTGAAAACATTGTATAAACCACACAATATTATTCATACTTAATGATAGTGGCAACATTACTGACCATGAATAGGATGATCATCTCAAGCGGTGGTACACACACATATATACACACACACAACCCTAGCACACATATGTATATACATATACTCACACTCACCTAACTCACACACACCACGAATACACATTTATACACATCTATAATCATAATATACCCACCTAATATATACACACACACACAACCCTAACACATATATGTATATACATATACACATACACACATACACCCCCCTAACATATACTCTCCCAACACACACGCAGAGTACCCCACGAAACAGAGAGCTCTCAAGACAAAAGGATCTTACCACATATTTTATAGTTCTGAGTCAGCACACCAAGACTCCATTTTATCTTGATAGGGATGTGAAAAGGTCAAGTACTGATTTAGGTTTTCAAGAGAAGGCAAAAAATAAAAAGTCCTTTCTGAAAATATTTGCTACACTTTACTTTCATTCAGGGTTTCTGTGTGGAGCAGAGATAGCTCGAAACCCACAGGATGGCAAAGATTAAAATAGCCCAGCTTATGGATGTGGCTCTAAGATTGGTTTTACTTGTTCCTCTGACTTTTATTATACAAAGTAGAAAATTCCTATATGGCTCCAATAGAGAAAATAAGATAAATTAATGTAAAGCAATCCAAAGATTTATGTAATCCATATATATGGCATATTTTATGTTTATTCTCATAATGTGCATTATAAAAGCACTTTCATATAGACATGTCACTGCACAAAATATCATCAATACTTTCTTTCTGAAAAATAGGAGACTTTAGGCTCACTTTCCCAGACCTAAAGTCTCTCCCCATTACAAAATAAAATGTTTGCAGAGATAAAATTATGGTATCTGGGTGACATCTTAGAGACGTCTGAGACACTGAAGAGAAAATAATTTTGGATCAGAAGAATTTTCACCAAATCCTCCAATTATTCCACTTGGCATTTCTACAGATAATAGCAATCCCTAAATATCTTTTTAATAGCTGCAGAAACACTCTGTGCTTAATTCCAAAGTTATCATTCACCTAGGTATATATACTTTTATGTTCAAATATCTAAGGTTACTTCTGGACTAAGAAATTTAATAAGACTTGTAAAAACAGTTTAACTCTTTGAAGTATGTTTGACTTTACAATGGCATATTTTCAAAAACGTAGCACATGCTAAGACTATAAAACAATGATCTCCTCTTGCTTGTTTGTTTGTTTACTTGGTGTTGTGGGCCAACTGCTAAGCAAAGAAGCAGGTTGGTATAAAAAGCTGGTATAAAAACAGACAGATCTTGTTTTGAATGCCACATATGATACTTTTTAGTTGAGAGACCTAAGACTTGTTACTCAATCTCAATAAGCCTCAGTTAACTGTAAAATGAGCATAACAGTAACTACCTCAAAAAATGCTTGTGGTGACTAAATGAGATAATCAATGGAAATGACTTCCTGTGCTGCACTTCTCTTTAAAGGATAAGGGTGAACATGATTTGCTCTTAGTAAAATAAGTGATGGAAATACACGATTTATGGATTACTAAACTTAACCCTCCAGATGCACTGCAGCCCAATGCTACAGATTACCTTGGATCCAAATCCTGGCTCGACGTAAGCCACCTGAGGGAACCTATGCAAGTCAAATAACCTTTCTCTGTCTCAATTCTCTCAACAATAAAACAGAACAACAGTGAGACATGTCATTGTGTGTTTTAAGTATTAAATGAGTTAATAGTTATAAAGTGCTTATCATACGTTATTACTTTGAGGTACTGCTTACGTTATGAAGATTTTATTCACATTATATAAGTTTTTATAGTTAAAAATCATGCCCTTTCCTTTAACATTGTTACTGAAAGCAGATTATCAAACTATGGGATGAATTCCATTTCTGTAGATCTTATATTTAAAGTAGATAGTGAAAACAATTATCTGGTCAGCAAGCTGACTTCTAGGTCCCAATGTTTTCTGACCTTTCCCGTATCCTTGCAGGTAACACTTGAATCCTGGTTGTGTGCCCAGAAAGGTGTGGCAATGCCAATAAAGCTCCAAACTACCAGCAAATGCTAAGAACAAATAATTTTTTCATATTTTGTCCTAACTGAATAATTAACAGGGCTGATAAAATACCATGTTAGCCATTCACACTTTAATTAAAATGAGTGCTTAAAAGTAGACTTAGATGGAAGGTAGAAAAGAGAGCATGAGGGAACTCAGGATCTGAATAAAGCATGGTGATGCCATAGATTGTGGAGGGGCAGAATGATAAAGCTAGACAGCAGAATTTCAGCCACGTGCTGCTCACTTGTACATTTCTCTGCACATGGTCCATCTTTCATATTGCCCAGTCTAATGAAGACAAAAGATCACAGATCAATGTTTCCAATTGTTATTGCTATTGTGATGTGTTATTCTTAGGTCTATCTATTCAACTCCTCCTTTTTAAAAACATGATACACATAATAGAACTTCTAGAATTGTATAGCATATGTGTATGTTCCTATATGATATACGCATATGAATATTTTCATTCATTATTCAACAAATGTATGAGTGCCTACTATGTACCTTCTTCCAGACACTGAAGATGTAACAGTAAATACAACAAACAAAATGTCTTGTCTCTTAGCTTACTAGAGGGAGAGAGACAGAAAGAGACAATCAAAAAATGAGTAAGCTTTTGTTTGTTTGTTTTCTGTCTTTTAGGGACAGGATCTCACTCTGTCACCCAGGCTAAAGTGCAGTGGTCCAATTATAGCTCACTGTAACCTAGAACTCCTGGGCTCAAGCAATTGTCCCACCTCAGCCTCTCAAGTAGTTGAGACTACAGGCACAAACAACCATGCCTAGCTGTAATTTGTTTATTTATTTCTATAGTGACAGGGTTTCTATGCTGCCCAGGCTGGCCTCAAACTCCTGACCTCCCACCATGGCCTCCCAAAGCTCTGGGATTACAAGCGTGAGTCACCGCACCCGGCCCTAAAAATGAGTAAATTTTCTGATAAATGCTTTGGACAAGAGTCCCAGTCAATCAGGGAGGATGTACAGGAAGTATGAGGATAGGACTATACTTTTATACCTGTGGAAAAGCAAGATCTCCCGGACAAGGTGACACCTGAGCCCAACCCCGACGCAGTCTGGGATGTGCCACAAAGCCACCTGCTCTAGAGCATTTCAAGCAGAGGAAACAACAAAAGCAAAAACACTGAGTGTGGAGCAAGCCTGACATGTTTGAGAAACACTGGAAATTTCCTGAAACTTTCATGATGATTCTAGCTATTGCTCCAAAGCGTCAATACAGCAAGGTGATAAACACTCAACGTTCTGATATATCTGTCCCCCTACTCAGGATACATAAAGTCTACCCAAACTTTATTTATAATTTCTGAGAGAGCTATTTTTAGAAAATTTTACAGAGTAATTTGTTCAGTCCAATAATGGCTAACCCAAATAGAGTTGATGCAAAGGGGGAGAAATGCTCAATGCATCTGCTCAGCGGCTGTGTGAATGACCTCCTGCAGGCTACTCTGCCTCTCTGAAACTCAGCCTCCTCATTCACACAATGGGAAGAGTAGAATCCACCCCATGCATGTCAATGAGTTGTTCTAGCCTTAGGATAAGAAGCACTTGATGAAGAAGAATCACTTTCCACCCAAATACAAAATATTTTGGTATAAAACCTCATTTGTATAAAGGCCATTTGTTTGCCAACTTCACTTATCTGGGAGACAACTAAGTCTTTAAAAAGAAGCCAAAAATATCCTGCAGAAAACAAATTTGATACTGCATCATTGATATACCAACTCATGTTTTACTATTTCTAGCAAAGCTACAAAGGCTCTAAATCAGAGTCCATTTATTCATTCCTTAAGCACCATTCTACTATTCTTAAATACAGAGTTTCCTATTATGACCATCAGTTGACTTCACCTTTGAGATCTACAACCTTTTTAGTTGTCTTGGATTGCTTTGGATCCACTCATGCATTCTGCAGAGCAACATCTGCCAACTGACTATAAGGATTTGATAGCAAAGCTCTCTGGGCATCTAGAGAATGAGGGTAAATATTTGATTGGAGTAGAAAACAATCCACTCTTTTGTGGAAAGATCCTAGCTTGGGAATAACATAATCCCAGGCTCATAAGCCAAGATCATCACCAAAAATTAGAGTCACATTGAACAGGTACCTCATCTCAGAGTCTCCATTTTCTACTCTCGGAACTGGAAGTAATGATGACAATCCTACAGGGTTGTGGGGAGTGTTGGGAAGAATATATGTAAAAATCTTGGTAGAGTGCATGGCATAGTCCCTTCCCTTCCTTCTCTGCCCTAGAATGGCTCAAATCTAGGACTCTGGCTTCTGTAACCTTAACACATCCAGTATGTAACTGTGCCCAGAAAAGAACAGACACTCTTAAGTAATTCCACTTGTATAAGTGAATGAATGAATGAACCAATAAATAAATGAACAAATAAAGAAATTTCTAAATCAACCCATCAACTAACTATATAACCACATCTCCTGAATCCTTACAAATCAAGAAGGAAGATACAATACCCCTTTATCTTATCTTCTCTTAATGAATACTAAATGATGTAGTATTCATACCTGCAGATGTAGAATCTTTCTTATCTTTACAGCCAGAATCTTACTTTAGTAGGCACAAAGATGCTAGGCTGAGAATTGTGCTCCTAGGTACTCTGGCAGAAGGCAGAAATTCATTTTCTTTAGATGAGAGCTTTAGCTTCAGCCAGAGTCATTCATTCTCTTTTAAAAGGAGGAATCCATTTATGTCTTCAGCAGACAGATGTATCAAGCCATCGGGTGTTTCTGCCAATCAACTCCTGCCAAAGCTCTGATGTTTTATTTCATTAATGCAGGCACTTTCCATTAATTTGGATACTGTTTAAGAATGTTAGTTCCAAAGGACATTGTTTTTTGGCTCTTGTATTTTGAAGGGCTATTTAATACATTACTGCAATAAGTTGACCCCTTGCCAAGAAAGAAGCAGTGGCCACCCAATTATAATCAGTTTCTGACAATATGATGCTAATGCTTGGCCCAGTAATGTTTATTGTGCTTTACCTGGATTTGATAGAAACAAATACAAAGGATTCTATTGGCTGAGTAGAGAAGACTAAACAAAACAAAATACGAAAGTATTTTCTTTTTTTCCTTCCTCTCGTTCTTTCTTCCATGAAAATAAGGACACAACATATTTACTATATACCAAGTATAAAAACATAAGAACATAAGAGTATTTACTATAAGTCAAGTTAAATAGACAGTATTGATGCCTAAAAAACATTTTGTCTTTATTCCCATTATTTCTAGTTCCCAAGTAAACCGGAGTTTCATTCAGGTGTCTTCCCTCCTCCATGTGGCCATGTGCTTCTGAGAAAGAAGCCGCTTGATGCAGCCCCGAAGAGTCATCTTGACTCGCCTAAGACAATCATGGCTGCCTCACTTTCTTTCCTGGTCATTGGTTTGGACATATATTTCCAGCCAATAAAACATAAAAGACGGCTTAGTAAAGAGTTCTGAGAAAGTTTTCCCTACTTTTAAAAGACTTAAGGAAGAGATAAACTCTTTTTACTTGGCCTATGTCATGTCTGGATGTCTGGATATGATGCCTGCAATCGCAATTGCCTGAACACTAAGGCTACATACAAGCTGAGAACAGAGCAAAATGATGGAAAGACGTTTGTTCTTGATGCTGCTGTTGAACTAGTGAGATAAACCAGAAGCACTCTTTCCCTGAACTTCTTGTTCTATGTGAAAATAAATTTACTTACTTTAAAAGGCAGTATAGATAACTATTGCTAACGGCTATAACAGGTCCCGGGTAGAACATCCACAGGGTATATGCCTCTGTAATAGGATTACTCTTCGAAATTTCTAAAATTACAAGGTGGGCTGCTCTGTGTCATTAAATATTACAGCAATGTGCCTATCTTTTAAAACAACAAAATTCACCAGTATGTTTTATTTTCACCACGTTTCATAGTCTCTAGATGAATATTTTACCTACAGGTACAACTGCAGTAGGGAAAGCTTTTTATAGGAATGTGCTCAACTCCTTGGTCTTCACGTTTGGATTTGGATCCAATCTAAATGCTCAGACATTTGTATGAATGTGCCTCAGCCATAATTAGGAGTTCTGGAAATAAAAACAGTCCACCTCAAAAAACAATTTCAGCCTAGATTCTCCAATTCCTCCAATTCATACTGGTTTTTCAATTTTCTCAGTATGTATTTGGAGGGTGATAATTATTTCAAATATCCCATTCTAATTCTATGTATATTGCACTAACATATATAATTTATTTCATATATGTTAGTATCTTTTTGCCAACTAGAATTTAAAAACCCTAGAGGCAATTCCTACATTCTTGTTGTATCATTGGCAGGCTCTAGCAAAATGCTCCTTATAGAGAAAATGCTCAGTCATATTTTGTGACCAGTTAACTTGCCGAGCAGATATGGAAAATAGCAAAAATCCCAGCACCTTTTCCATTCTACTCTGAGTTGTTAGGCTTATCTTTTATTAAGCCTATAATTACATTTGACTCTAACCTAAATCTGTTCTCAATAGAAGGAGAGAAAAACTCTGGATTCTCCAAAATATACTTTACTTAAAACCCTGCTGCTCATGTCCCACCTAAGTGGGTGAAGCAGAAAGCAGAAATACAGTTCACTTGCTGCAGCTGAACTTCCCTATGCCAATAAACCAACGGATCTAGAAACCAACACATCACCATAAGGAATGACAGAATTATTATTAACCAAGTCCACATGAAAATAATGATGAAGAAAATTATGATAAATAGCTAAATGGCATCAGAGGCTTATCATATACCTGGCATGTATTAACTTGTTTAATGCTTGTAACAACTCTCTGAGTTTCATCTAATTGTTATCCCTATTTTGCAAATGAGGTAGTCAAGACAAAGTATGCTGACTTGCCCAAAGACTCACAGCTACTAGTGGAGTGTTGGGGCCAGAATTCAGGCAAGCAGTTGCTTCTCAGACTGCACTCTTAAAAATACCCATCCCTCATGTGTTTTTTGGCTGCATAAATGTCTTCTTTTGAGAAGTGTCTGTTCATGTCCTTCGCCCACTTTTTGATGGGGTTGTTTGTTTTTTTCTTGTAAATTTGTTTGAGTTCATTGTAGATTCTGGATATTAGCCCTTTGTCAGATGAGTAGGTTGCAAAAATTTTCTCCCATTTTGTAGGTTGCCTGTTCACTCTGATGGTAGTTTCTTTTGCTGTGCAGAAGCTCTTTAGTTTAATTAGATCCCATTTGTCACTTTTGGCTTTTGTTGCCATTGCTTTTGGTGTTTTAGACATGAAGTCCTTGCCCATGCCTATGTCCTGAATGGTAATGCCTAGGTTTTCTTCTAGGGTTTTTATGGTTTTAGGTCGAACGTTTAAGTCTTTAATCCATCTTGAATTGATTTTTGTATAAGGTGTAAGGAAGGGATCCAGTTTCAGCTTTCTACATACGGCTAGCCAGTTTTCCCATCACCATTTATTAAATAGGGAACCCTTTCCCCATTTCTTGTTTTTCTCAGGTTTGTCAAAGATCAGATAGTTGTAGATATGCGGCGTTATTTCTGAGGGCTCTGTTCTGTTCCATTGATCTATATCTCTGTTTTGGTACCAGTACCATGCTGTTTTGGTTACTGTAGCCTGGCCATCAGAGAAATGCAAATCAAAACCACAATGAGATACCATCTCACACCAGTTAGAATGTCGATCATTAAAAAGTCAGGAAACAACAGGTGCTGGAGAGGATGTGGAGAAATAGGAACACTTTTACACTGTTGGTGGGACTGTAAACTAGTTCAACCATTGTGGAAGTCAGTGTGGCGATTCCTCAGGGATCTAGAACTAGAAATACCATTTGACCCAGCCATCCCATTACTGGGTATATACCCAAAGGACTATAAATCATGCTGCTATAAAGACACATGCACACGTATGTTTATTGCGGCATTATTCACAATAGCAAAGACTTGGAACCAACCCAAATGTCCAACAATGATAGACTGGATTAAGAAAATGTGGCACATATACACCATGGAATACTATGCAGCCATAAAAAATGATGAGTTCATGTCCTTTGTAGGGACATGGATGAAATTGGAAATCATCATTCTCAGTAAATTATCACAAGAACAAAAAACCAAACACCACATATTCTCACTCATAGGTGGGAATTGAACAATGAGAACACATGGACACAGGAAGGGGAACCTCACACTCTGGAGACTGTTGTGGGTTAGGGGGAGGGGGGAGGGATAGCATTGGGAGATATACCTAATGCTAGATGACGAGTTAGTGGGTGCAGCGCACCAGCATGGCACATGTATACATATGTAACTAACCTGCACATTGTGCACATGTACCCTAAAACTTAAAGTAAAAAAAAAAAATTAAAAAAAATACCCATCCCTCAAAAATGTCCCGTTTACCACTTAGGTGCAAGAACTATAAAATTAAAAGCTCCCGTCCAAGGAGCTAAGAAAGGATGAGGACCAGCATCAGAGACCATCATTTGTGTAACCAAATTATCATCAGAAAATAACATATGGATAGAGCAGCCCAGGAGTCAGCAACCTTTGACATTTGTTTTATTTCTTTTCGTGATATACCATGATTGTTGAAATTAATTCAATCTCTTTCAAAGAGTTAACTAGAAGAAATGCAAAATGCATGGCATACACAAAATGAATCACAAAACATACAAAAAATTCTTTTTTTATTTTTTTAGAGACAGGGTCTTGCTCTGTCACCCAGGCTGGAGTGCAGCGTTGCAATCATAGCTCACTGTAACTTTGAACTTCTGGGCTCAAGTAATATTCCTGTCTCAGCTTCCCAAGTAGCTAGGACTACTGGCAAGCACCACCATATTCAGCTAATTTTTAAACTTTTGTTGTAGAGTAGGTATCACTATGTTGCCCAGGCTGGTATCAAACTCCTGACCTCAAGTGATCTTCCCACAGCACTGGGATTATAGGCATGAGTCTGGGATTATAGGCGTGAGTCACCTCACCCAGCCTGAAAACAATTCTTTTAAAATATGTACTGGACTAAGGAATGTGTAGCAACTCACCTGCTGAAAACAAAAGTCGTTGATTTGAAAAAGAAAGAAATAAATACTGAATGTTATTGACAAATGAAATGAAAAGATTAAAGTTTACTGGAATTTTTTTCTGTCTCATAATAAAATACCCCTAGATATTTAGGTAAGGGTTATGTTTTGTCAGAAGGGAAGATCATTTGTTAAGGCCGATATATTTTCCAGTGTGAAGGAGAAGGAAGAAAAGGGCATTCTTCAGTGGAGTAGCAAATATGTGTGATTTTATAGGAAGACTACAGAAACTATTTTCATCTTGCCTAACCAACATTTAACAAGACTATAAATCTTTGTGATAAAAACAAGTTTTAGAAGTTATAAAATATGAAAAGGGTACAGTACAAGTGGCCAGGTTCAATTATGGGAAACATATCTTGAAAATAGTCCATCATCCCATAGCCCTAGAAACAAAAGTTCCATGCAGTGATGAAGCTAAAAAAAGAATTTTTTTTGACAAAAACAAGCAATGGGGAAAGGATTCCCTATTTAATAAATGGTGTTGGGAGAACTGGCTAGCCATATGCAGAAAACTGAAACGACCCCTTCCTTACACCTTATACAAAAATTAACTCAGGACGGATTAAAGACTTAAACGTAAAACCATAAAAACCCTAGAAGAAAACCTAGGCAATACCATTTAGGACATAGGCATGGGCAAAGACTTCATGACTAAAACACCGAAAGCAATGGCAACAAAAGCCAAAATTGACAAATGGGATCTAATTAAACTAAAGAGCTTCTGCACAGCAAAAGAAACTATCATCAGCATGAATAGGCAACCTACAGAATGGGAGAAAATTTTTGCAATCTATCCATCTGACAAAGGGCTAATATCCAGAATCTACAAAGAACTTAAACAAATTTACAAGAGAAAAACAAACAACCACATCAAAAAGTGGGTGAAGGATATTAAGAGACACTTCTCAAAAGAATACATTTATGGAGGCAACAAACATGAAAAAAAAGTTCATCATCACGGGTCATTAGAGAAACGCAAATCAAAACAAGATTATTATTATACCACCTCACACCAGTCAGAATGGCAATCATTAAAAAGTCGGGAAACAACAGATGCTGGAGAGGATGTGGAGAAATAGGAATGCTTTCCACTGTTGGTGGGAGTGCAAATTAGTTCAACCATTGTGGAAGACAGTGTGGCGATTCCTCAAGGATCTAGAGCCAGAAATACCATTTGACCCAGTAATCCCATTACTGGGTATATACCCAAAGGATTATAAATCATTCTCCTATAAAGCCACGTGCCCACGTATGTTTATTGTGGCACTATTCACAATAGCAAAGACTTGGAACCAACCAAAATGCCCATCAATGATAGACTGGATAAAGAACATGTGGCACATATACACCATGGAATACTATGCAGCCATAAAAAGGATGAGTTCATGTCCTTTGCAGGGACATGGATGCAGCCAGAAACCATCATTCTCAGGAAACTAACACAGGAACAGAAAACCAAACACTGCATGTTCTCATTCATAAGTGGGAGTTGAGCAATGAGAACACATGGACACAGGGAGGGGAACATCACACACCAGGGCCTGTTGGGGAGTAGGGGGCTAGGGAAGGGATAGCATTAGGAGAAACCTCTAATGTAGGTGGCGGGTTGATGGGTGCAGCAAACCACCATGGCACGTGTATACCTATGTAACAAACCTGCACATTCTGCCCATGTATCCTAGAACTTAAAGTATAACTGAAAAAAAAAAAAAGAATTTTTTTTGGCCAGAGCTTACATCTCCTGCATATACTCAATAGATTTAGCTACCATGATTCACAACTCAAACAGAGAAAATAAGATGCTCCACAGTTTCCTGAATATATTAGGATCTTAATAAATATTAATCTATTGGCTGGACCTAATTCTTATAGTAGTGATTAAACTATTATTATCTGAGGTAGAGGGGAAATATAGTACTGATTCAGAGCACAAATTATATGCCAGACTGTCTGAATTTCACACTGCTATGGGACATGGGACCAGTGATTTTCAACAACAGTGTGACAGAGTTGCCTACAGAAATGAAGATAAAATTGGTAGGTTTTTCTTTGGCTGTTAAAAAAGTTAATATGTCATGAAAAACTATACATTATCTTCCCTTATCCATTCTCTACTTCACCCTTTCAGTATTTCCCAAGCAAGACCATTCTGTGGCTCAAATCCAGGGGTCATCCTTCACATTATATCCTACAGGAATGGAAGTCCCAGGAATCACACAATGTAGTGGTCCTATCCCTTACAGTTTTGGGGGCGGGGGATGGGATCTTGCTATGTTGCCCAAGCTGGACTCAAATTCCTGGGCTCAAGAGATCCTCCCATCTTAATCTACTGAGTAGCTGAGACAACAGGCGCATGCCACAGTGCTCGGCTCTGTCCTTGGCATTTTAATAGAGACCATGGGTACTCAGCAGACACTTGATTCTCCTTTCTTCACCGCAGGAAAGGCCATTCATGCGGCTAAATTCTGGATGACAGAATGTGAGCATAACTGATGGATACTTCTTGGAGGTGACATTCTTTAAACGAAGCTGCTCATCCTATAGTCTGATATGTGGGCATGGTTTGGAGAGCCAACATTACCCAGATGAAGATCAAATCAGACAGAATGAGGGATGACAACATAGAAGGAGCCTGGGTTTCTGGAGGATTTTACATAGAAGTTTATCCTTCCGCGCCCAGTCCTCCTAAGAAAGCATGGCTGAGTGGTCTAAGGCACCGGATTGAGAAATAAATTCTAGATCTTGATTGATCCATTATACTTTAGATCTGTATATTGTAATTGCTTGGTCTGTGTCCTATTTAATAACTATGTATAAAGAACTAGAACTGTGCTTGGCACATAGTAAGTGCTCACTAATTGTTACCTACTAAATCCATAAGTGCCAGAGCCAGTATTTGAAAACAGAGAGCACTGTGTGTCTCCAAAGCCCACGTTCTTTCCTTTCCAGGAAGAAACGCTACCTCCAGTGCACACAAACAAAAAAGCAGTTATTTGCTAGAAGCACTTTGGTTGCCAACACTTTAAAATTTCTTATAGTTGCTGGGTTAAAAAAAATTTTCCAATTTTCAAAACCATTCTCAATTCTAAATCATAATTTAAAAATATATTACGTTTGAAGTTTACTTGGCAAATAAATTCTTCGACACCTATACTTCTGACTCACTCTAGTCACCCCAAAAAACACAGCACAGTGAGAAAAAGAAGAGCTGAAAAAGAGCTACCTGCATATTCATAAGCTGAATTCTCTGTCTGTTAGATAAAAAGGACTTGCATCCTCTGAACCATAATTTTTTTCTGTGCCGATGAATATAACTAGGCTGTCTTTGAAAAGCCAAGTCTTCAACCTGGTTTGAAGAGTAATTCCTATTCTATCATTCTTTATCTTCTCTCAGTACTTACCCTGGGAAAAACTGCCAAGAAGAGAAATTTTGTCCTTGGGATAAATTGTGCTTGATATTTCAGAGCCTGTTCTCATTCTGAATTCAGTACTGGAGAAGAATGGGGGCCCCTCCCACATCTTCTTCCAGACATCCAGATGCTCCAGTCTGCCCATCTCTTTCAAATTTCAGAGACTTGTAACATACACAGATCATCCATTTCTACATACATGGCAAGAACTATTAGGCTACTTCAGGAAAACAGAGAAATACACTGTCCAGTATTGCTTTACAATATTGAACTAAACGGCTAAAGGTCAAGGTCTCTCATATTTAAAAAAGCAGTCCAAGTGTTTTTTGTTCTACTGGGAAATCTGTTGTTTTGAAGGCAACAGAGATTTGAATAAAGCCTTCCCTTCTCCTCACCCCCGCTCCCACTTTTAGCCAAATTAATTTTCCCTCCTTCCATTTTCCCATAGCACCTTGTAAAAAATTCTATCAACATTTCTTTCATTGTACTGTAAATATCTGTGCCCATGTTTTTTCCCTGAGTAGGCTCAGTGGGTCTGTCTTTCATTATCTTCTTGGGATGACTGATCTCATTACTTTGTCCTTTTGCTTTGCCTTGTGCATTTATGTGCGGACTTTCCCGTGTCATTTTATTATTGCAGCTGTTGAAGTAACTTAAATGGGCTCTAAGAATATACATACTGTTAGAAAACTTACTTTTCAAAGTAAACATCACAGTTTCAGACATTTTTAAAAAGGCTTCAATTTTGCCCTGCTTTCTAAATCCTCCATAGTCTAAATATTCCATTATCTCTTTTGCAACCCCAAAGTGTCTCAAATTAAACACCACACTTCAACCAAAGTCACAACCAATGAGGAAGATTGGATTGTTCTCTTTTCTGGAGGATAGACACAGCAGGACTTGAATATTTCAGCAAAACTTAACTCCTAACAGCACTAATGGTGCCATTTGGCACTAATGCATTGTCAGGAATTAAAATCTGAACAGTAGAGTTGTAAGCAAGGAAAAAAATATCAATAAAATTCAGCTCAGGCAGACAAGTATGTGGTCCGTATTTGATGGAGGGATTATATGCATACATAAATAAATCATTAAAATCCACTCACTAGGAGTCTGCTCAATTCACGGTGATTTGAGTTGCTGCGGGGGCAATGGCAAATCTAAACATAATTTGTTTGTTTGCAAGACGAGAAGGAAGAATTTGACAGATTTTAAACAGATATAGACAGTCCATTTTTACATTTGTAGAATGGTTAATATAGTATTCAAGTAAAAACGTGCAGCACATTTTCCAATGTGACTTTGTTTTAAAAAGAAGAGGATGCTGGGCATGGTGGCTCATGCCTGTAATTCCAGCACTTTGGGAGGCCGAGGCAGGCAGATCTCTTGAGCTCAGGAGTTTCACAACAGCCTGGACAACATGGCAAAACCACATCTCTACAAAAAATAAAATAATTAGCCAGGCACGGTTGGGTGGCAGCTGTAGTCCCAGCTAACTCTGGAGGCTGAGGTGGGAGGAGCACTTAAGCCTGGGAGATGAAGGCTGCAGTGAGCAGTGACTCTGTTACTACATTCCAGCCTGGGGACAGAGTAAGACCTTGTCTCAAAAAATAAAAAAAATTAAAATAAATAAAAAAGAAGGCGGCGGCGAATGTGGTGGCTTATGTCTTTAATCCAGCACTTTGGGAGTCCAAGACAGGGAGGTCGAGGCTGCAGTGAGTCTTGATTGTGCCACTGCACTTCAGCCTGGATGACAGAGTGAGACCCTGTCTCAACAACGACAACACAAAAAAAGGAATAAACTGCTACAGTCAAGTCTTATTCCAACACTTCCCAAGTTACCATCTAAATAAATAATCAAATAAATCATAGCCTTTGGGAAGGCTATTATGTATTATACTGAAGTATTATGTATTACTTAAAGCACTGCTTTAAGTAATACATAATATGACTGCAAAAAGAAGGCACAGACATTTGTTGAATCTTCGGCATGGGTATCTTAGGAAATCCTGACAACTCTCTAAGGCTGGTTTTATTAACTCCATTCAAAGGTAAGAAAACTGATGAAGGAAGAATTCATAGCTTGCCCAATGGAGTATAGTCAGTCAATAATAGAGACAGTACTCAGACTGATATTGCTTTGTCTCTAATATTCATGTTCGTTTCATTGCCTCACACTGGTTGACATAAAATTCACTTCCAGAAGTTTGGATTTCGGTGTATGTTTGTTCTAAACACACACCACACCCACCCACCCACCCACCCACCCACACACACACAGTCTTTACTTCTCTTTGTCAAGGTCCAATTTAAAATTTAGCTAGCTTCATCCTAAACCTTCCCTTTTTTGCTCTTCAATGGCATGTGCTGCTTCGATCATACAATTCTCCTCTTGAGGATAAGGGTGGAGAACTGGTTCTCTCTTATCACTAGTTTTGTGTCCTCAGATAGAATAAAATAATTTTTAACCGAAGAAATATTTCAAACTTCATTTACATCCTCAATGGCATGCATGATCTTGGCTCTGAATAAGTGTTTAGTAAAAAATATGTTAACTTACTAAGTTGTAACTGAATTACTGTATGATATTAGTGAGTGGTAATTCATTTCACACATTGAAGCTGCTTAAATGTATCTGAGTGCAAATATATGTTGTATGAAGTATTTTTTTCTTTTGAGACAGAGTCTTGCTCTGTCACCCAGGCTGGAGTGCAGTGGCACAAGCTCCACTCACTGCAAGCTCTGCCTCCCTGGTTCACGCCATTCTCCTGCCTCAGCCTGCTGAGTAGCTGGGACTACAGGCGCCCGCCACCACACCCGGCTAATTTTTTGTATTTTCAGTAGAGATGGGGTTTCACCGTGTTAGCCAGGATGGTCTTGATCTCCTGACCTCGTGATCTTCCCGCCTCGGCCTCCCAAAGTGCTGGGATTACAGACGTGAGCCACCGCGCCTGGCCCTGTATGAAGTATGTTTTAAAGTGAGGTACTTAATGGGGCATTCTGGGAGCCTCTTTGTGTATAAAACTAATAATCATACTTTGGTATGTTCAAGTCTGAATTTTCAAATACTTGGTTTGCTTCAAATGGGAGTGGGCCTGTAAGCTGAAAAGAAGACTGGGAAATACAGAATGAAGTTTAATGAAAATAATGTTAGGCTTGTATCCTAAAAAGTGTGATAGACTCACTGTTATCTACAGGAACATATTTAACTTCCTGCAATTACTGACTTTCTGCTTCATAAACTCCCTACTTCGAACCCTTCATTGCTCTCCTTGTGCCTCTTTTTTCTGGAGATGAAATTACATAGGAACAGCAAGTCAATGGGTGGAAGGAAAAATCAATCTTTTCTGAGAATGGCGTACAGCTCCCGAGTTAGGTAAAGACCCTGTATCCTTGTTATATCACCACTTTTTCATATAGTACAGGGAAGAGCAAGAATAACTTTCAGAAGTGTGGTGGAGTTGTTCTCTTAAGCCTTATCCTACCAGATGGTGAGGTCCTTGAAATACAAAATGTGCTTTCTAGTTGGTTGTTGACTTGTCAAAGCAACTAGTACTTGCCTTTTTTAATATGAGAAACTACTACCATTAAATATTGCAGCTAAAGACACTTCAAAGTGAGATACAAGAGGGTCCTAAGATCAGACTTCATCACAGAACTTCAAGAAGACTTGAAAAAACCATGATGCTTCCTAAATTGAAAACAAAATCTCTTGGGACTTTGAATTTATATTAGGAAAATATTGCACATGGTTTTATATAGAACTTTATACTTTTATTACTTTATAGAGATCCTTAAAATTCATCATGAATTTATATTACTGTCAATGGTACTGTATATTTAAAAGAAGAGAAGATGGAGAGATATTAAAGACATAAATAAGCAATTGTTTTAGGAAAACCCCATAATTTTCAGAGACTGGATTAGAATTTGTATAACATCAAACCGTAGCACTGGTAAAAAAAAAATCAGCAAAAAAAATAAAAGATTAAAAATATGGCTTTTAACACATGACATTTTGGGAACCATCTGGAGATTCTGTTTAGCATGTACTTCAGCATCACTTGTGGAGCTTTTGAAAACATGCTTATTCTATTCTGGCTACATCCCTGGAGTCTGAAAATGCAGGTTGGGCACCCATACTGATAATTTTAAACTTCCTCAGGAGATCCTATGCATAGCCAGGACTGAGAACCGCCAGTCTAGAGACTCTAGGTAGAATCACTTAAGTAGCTTACTTTACCAAGCCTATTGTTTTCGCCCTGTTTAAGGCCGTTTTGAATTCAGTACTTTTTGGCTTTTACTTTCTGCAGGAAGAAGCCAATATTGGTACTTAAAGCCTCTGTGTTTTAGATAGAACCTTAGCTTACAGGCCTCAAGTAGGATTATTTTGAATGTATTTAAAATCTACAGCTGATGTTGCTATTTTAGAGCATTTTCAGTCTCAACCCAGCTGTACTCCTCATGCTACAAACGTGATATTTCTCATAATGAGAAGCAACAGCAATGGTGCCAAGCAATCAAGTCAACATAAAATCTCTATTTAGCTTAAACAGTGTTCCACTACAAAGAACATATTGAAAGTAAATATCATGAAGACTAATAATTGTTAACATTTATTGAGTTCTTACTATGTGTCAATCAAGTACCTAACACTAATTTTAATTTAATGATATCAGAATGAAGTGGGTATTATTATTGTCCCCACTTAGAGTAACCATTATTTCTATTTACTATTATCCCATTTATGATGAGGAAAGCAATATTTAGGAAATTTAAATCCTAAAGGGAGTCCTGGTGATAGCACCTAACCATGACTAGGATCAAAGTCTATCTCATTTCATACTTGCTCTTAATACTCCACTATGTCACTCCAAACTGACAGTCACCACTCCCCTACAATGACACAAAATTAAACTAATAAGATTCCACTTTTTCTTTCTTCTCAGTTTAACCTGAGTTCTGTTTCACTATTATATTACACAGTAAATAATAATATACAAATAACGGGGTAGCAATATATAGTCTGATTTTGTGTACTTCAAGGGATATACATTTTTTATCCCTATCCCTTTCCAAGAGTAAAAATCCCTTAATAGCACATTGGTAACTCAAATTAGGGGCGGGGGCGGGCATGAACAATCCTAATATTTGAGACAGATCCTAAAACATCTGGCTAATAAGTCTTTTCCTTTTGGAACTTGGGATTCCTTTTTAGAATCTATTTCTATTGGAATAAATGCAGGATAGAAGGAAGTTAGATTACCTGAAACATATAAAACCATCCCACATGTGGGGTTTCTAAGGTTACAGCTAAGGCTTCTCCTGAAATAGCAACACTTCTAGGGAACCCCTACGCCTCCCATACTGGGGGACTGCCAAGCTGATAGTTCATGCTTGCTGGTGGAGATAAGGGGAGAATGTATTCCTTATTTCTTATGTTAATGGTAGCCACAGCTCCCCTGTCCAGTTAAGGGAAACACTGCACTGCCACTGTACTTGTTTACTAGTGTTGCCGTAACAAAATATCACCATCTGAGTGGCTTAAACAATAGAAATTCATTTTCTCACAGTTTCAGAGACTAGAAGTCCAAGATTAAGGTGTCGGCAGGTTTGTTTTCTTTGGTGGCCTCTCTCCTTAGCTTGAAAATGTCCACATTCTCACTGTATTCTCAGTCTTTCCTTTCTGCTTGCACATCTGGGTCCAGATTTCCTCTTCTTAAAAGGACACCAGTCATTTTGCATTAGGGCCCACTCTATAAAGACCTCATTTTAACTTAATTACTTCTTCAAAGATGTTATCTGTAAATATGCTCAGGTTTGGAAGCATTGGGTGATCAGGACCTCAACCTATGAATTTTGAGGGACAAAATTCTGCCCATAACACTCTCTTCTTCTTTCTTTGAACAGAAAATTATCCTCTTCTATTTTATTCACAGAACCTCTATTCTTTCAACCAATCTAAGAACCCAAATCCTCCTTACAATGAGGTAGAGGTGAAGAGATGAACAGGGGGATTACTGACTTCTATTTTCACACAGTTGCTCCTTGCACAGTTCATTGAAAGCTGGCAATTCACTAAACAAAAACTTCTGCTACCACAGCATCTATAGCTGCAACTAATTCGATCATTGACTGTTTTTAGGCAGAATGACATTGAGAGTTATCATATGTATCGGGTGATTTTGATCACACTAGTGTACATAAACAATTTGGGGAGCTCAATTTAATGCTTTTTCTATTATTCCTTCCTGAGTAAGGTGGCTAGTGGGGAAAAGCTGAGCATACTGACATTTGAGCACCTACTAAAGCAGGGTGTTGCCACAAAAGTTGCAAACCTTCAATTTGAGCAGCCTTTTAAACATCCTAAGAGATATTCATACACGAAAGGATAGGATGTACTTCATCCCAAAATAATTTGCATCAACATTGCTACCCCCAATTACCCAGATATATTTATTACCTAAGAAAATGTAACTGGTCTCCTATTCCAAAACCAGTTCCCAATACCCCTTCCCTTCCAGCAGACTATAAGCCCTCAGCCCCTCCTAAATGAAAAGTCTACAGTTTCTTCTGCTTTGCCATGTTTCCATCCTTTCAACAACACTGAATAGGAGAGAGACAGCAGAGCAGCTGCATTTCCAAATTAGGAAAGAGAGTGTTGGAAGAGTTAAACGAATTTCGCTAAACCACAGAACACAAAGGTGGAGAATGAAAGGTAAAGTTCTTCCCTTCTAACTTACTACCTTTAAAACTCTATGTAGAAGGGAGGATTTCAAAACTAGCATAAACTGATAGTGGTTAGCATACCACATAGCAGACATTTAATAACTTGTGCTGAACTGAACTATGTCAAATGTGCTCAGTTATTGGCTCTGGCTGAAACAGCTTCGATGAATGTAGGCTTTGGCATTTCTCTGCCTCCTGAAGCCACTAAGGCAGTATTTCTGCTCACTCCTGAACCTTTCACTGGGGTATAACACACTCATTCTTCACTTCCATCAGCTCCGAATGTAGACCCCTGTCTACCGATGTGGGTGAAGGCACATGAATGTCTGTCAGGGAAGAACTCTTGTGTGGCTCACATGACATCAATGGATTCATTTCATATCTGCCTCCTAGACCCAGGGAGACACATAGTAACATTTTATTCTATCATGTCCTATGATTTTCACAAATTGAATTGAACCAGAGTGAGCAGGCCACTTGTGGTATCTCCCACTCATTCAGTTATTAATATAATTCCAGTCATACTACCATTTGGTCTATGTTCCTTTTGGTTCTATCTGAAAGTCAGTGCTATAAAATACCATGAAAAACCTTGGTATGATACATCAATCCATATCTGCACATTACATTGAACATTCTCCAAATTGAACAGAAATGAAATACGGATGTATTCAGAAGTTCCAGAAAGCTGAGAGGTTTTCATTGAGTAGAAATTGCATAAGAAAACGGAAACTGTGATAGGAAAATATTTTGAAATTTCCATAAGAAAATAGCTATTTGGTGGATATTTTATTGTTAACATTTTTCTCCATTGGCCTTAAGAAAAACAAATACAAAGGTCATTCGCTAACTGTGGAATACTATGAATCCAATTATGTAGACTCAAGCAATTAGGTAAAATGAATATCTGAAAACATAATGGGCCCAAACCTTCCTTGATTGCCCATGTCTGACTTCCTGATTCAAAAGTTTAAGCCTACATAAAATAGATAATAAGGCAGCTATGAGTTCTGGCATTGTGGATACTCCATATAAATTTATTCTAAGAATCATCTATTCTTTAACCAAGATCCATTGGAGAGATTCTTGAAAAATTACATGCATGAAGGAGAGGAGGGAGGGTAAATTTCCGGCAACTTTTTGTTAGTTTGTTTTTTTCACTTTATTTTACATTTTTAAAGATGTGTAAGACCCCAAGTGAAAGAAAAATTGCCGCAAAGTCTGTTCCACTCCTAGCACATTAAAAAATGCAATAAAGTAGTTGCTAGTGCGAAATGATAATTTCAATGAAACATCTTCTTTTGGTGCAAAGTTTCAACCAAAAATCACGTTGGAGGAAAGCATGTCTTATTATAAAAGCATTAGTTAAATTATTCAGACTATGTGAACAGAGTGTAAACCTATGATTCATTCTTTTTTTTTTTGTCCCTGCAAAATGGTAACTTGATTGAAACTAATTAGTTCTTTTAGTTATACTAATTCAACCACATTTTAAAGCCATGTGTCAATATGATTAAGACTCAAAATAGTGACTTAAGACGCTAATTTATATGATGAGTTTAATGGCACTGTTAGATACAATAATTTAAAACACTGTGATAATGAGTTTTGCAAAATAAAAGTTTACTAAAATTCAAATTGTAGTATTATCAGATAAATTAAGTCTTGCTTTAAATACACTTTAAGCTTTAAATGTTCACTATTTCATTTATTTTCTTTCAATATTGATTTAATACGCAGTATGTATCAAAGAGATACACAAAGAGGAAGTCTGGTTCCCTGAATAGACAAAGCTTAGAGTTATGGGGGAAGATAGAGAACAAACATATAATTAGTAGGTAATGTGGTAAGTGTTATGGAAGGGGTATGAGTGAAGCACTGGGGGACAATGACAAAGGCAACTAGTAATGCTGCAGTGGGAAGATAAGGTCAGTTTATCCTAATGATCAGTGCATATAATTCAATAAGTAGAACAAATACACTACCTTAAGGCAATGCTGCTTAATTCAGGACTCTTAACAGGGACACAAAATACAGAAGGTATAGAAATTCAGACAACATATATTTCATCCAACATTTTTCTCTTAATCCAATTACTTTTGACAAGTTACTGACCTGCTTGGATGGGTTCCAAGAAAAGGCCTCTTTACGATGGATGTTACTCTATTACAAACCATGTTCCAGTCTATTTTATCATAAAACATATTTTCTCTGCTAGATACTACTTTCAGGGTTTGAAAGAAGCCATAAATCTTTACATAAATGGAGAAAAATGTTCAAAAAATTGTAAACACAGTTCTGTGACAAATGGCCAACATACCTGTTGCTTACTTGTAGTTATTATATGCTAAGGCAAAGAAGAATGAAACAAGATATGATTATTGGAAACAGAAATGAAAATAGATATGACTTTTGCTGAACACTAGTTGATTGTTCTGATGTGGGTGTGGATGCTGTTATGGCTACCTACCTACATTCTTTCTGGTAGAAACAAGGTGAGGATTTCAACCAAGAGTTTAGTCTATTTTCCCCACGAGGTAGGGGGCAGGTGGGCAGTGGCTATAGGGCATTTGACATTAAAAACCTATCACTTTAATCTTGGTAGGCATCCTGAGAGCATTCTCCAGGTGCATCAAAAGTAGAACTGGAGCTGTGGCCAGTAAGCTGGGGCAGAAAAAGAACAAGAAATGATTATTTCTGTGGTCACAAAGAATGGCATTCCTATCTGATACAGCTTTGGTCACTTGGCTGCTCCCCAAAAGCATGAATACTTCTGAGAAATAGCAAGATAGAAATCTAGTGTGGGAAGTCAAAGGAGATTCCGGAGGGGAGGGAAAGATTCCCGTCAAGCCTCTGGCCACATCCAGGGCTTCCCTTTCAGTGTGTTAATATAAACATCAAACCAAGTGCTGAATCAATGAATTCACCTACTTAATTTTGTAGTTAATTAGTGGAAGCTAGTATGAAATTAAGTGCTTACCCTGCGGAATAGACACACACATACACACACACACACACACACACACACACACACACACACACACAGAAACCACAATATGAAGAAGGACTTGGCTAGACATGGATAGTAGCAGAAATAAATACATTTGATAAGCATAATGAAAAGGGAGACAGAGGAGGGCAAGAAGTGGCAAAGAAAGGAAATTAGCCATCCAAAATGTCAGAGAAGGGGAGCTAGAAAAATGTATTTCCATTCTCTTCGGCAAAGACAGTCCTGTTACCTGTAAATAGTTCTGTGAAATAGCTCAGACTCTTGGATAGATAAAAAGAATACCAGAGAGCATCACAGACTTCTTATTTTACAGAAACATAAGGCTCAGAAAAGAGGTAACTTACATAGAGTGCTACAACCAGAGCACACAGCAGCATCCTCAATGGAATGTCACCTTTGACAGTTGCATTCAGCAGTAGGAAACAGCCATTACAAAGGTGCTGCTAAGAAGCTACAAGTGAAATGCACCCATATTTTCTATTTCACTTGCAACCACCTGCTCAGGGGCTCTAATGTTTATAGCTTATGGCAGTGTCCTAGACTATCGAAGTGAATAATAGACATGGTGGTCATTTGTCACACACTTGTGCAATTATATCTATATGACTTTATATCTTGCTAAGCATTGACATTAGAATTTAAAAAATACCTTCTACTATTATAATCATTCACCTTTAACAAGAGGATATTTTGATCCCAATGAAATAACAAGAGTCTGTCTTTTAAATGTATAAATTTAATTATGTGAGAAATACACTGCATTCTACTTTTTTTTGCCTCTATCTGTTATTGCAAGATTCACCATTACACCTGCCCATTTGGCAATCTAGCTTCAGGGACCATTGCTGCATATTAGAATAATATGCAAACAGGGGGAGATTTGAAACATTAAATGTAACAATTTCATCCTGCTCCTTATAACTTTAATCCAATGGGAGGCTGGAAAAAGAAACATCTTGCACACATGAGCATTTCCCTTGGGAAACCCTGGGAAATCTCCCCATCATATCCATACTACAGAACATAAAAGCAGGCAGCCCTCTGAAGCACAACGGAGCCCACAGAAGCAGGTTGCTTTGATGAGGGAGCTCCACATTCCTGCTAAGCAAATAGCTGCAGGAAACCTTGAGCTCTAAATTACCGCTCATCCAATACCAGCTCTCTAAAGAGACATCATAGGAAACTCAGCAAAAGAGAGTTTCTTTTATTTCAAAGTCAACACACTACTAGGTGGGTTCCCCTAATGGAGAAGGTTGGCTGGCCCCAAGTGGAGTCTATGGGGTTATCTATTAGAAAGATTAATGAAAACCTAACAAAAAAGTCATAATTTCATTTGAATTTTTAAAAATTTTGTTTAAGATCAGCAGTTGGAAGCTTGTGAAGAACATTCTTTCAATCACAAAGCATCTATAGACTATCCACTATATGTAAGGCATGAAGGTGAGGACCCAGAGGTGGAAGTCAAGGGGCTGACCTCAGAGAGCCTTCCGGCTAAAAGCACAAACAAATAATAAGCACATAGAACAATTACTTATGCAAAACAGGATATTGGAAATGAAAATCAATATGGCATAGCCAAGAAATACATATTGGAATTGAGAGAGAGGAGGAGCTGAGATAGAGAGGCTCTCTGGAGGAGATTTTGATTACAGGGCCTGGCACTTATTTTACAAATGAAGGTTTGTTAGTAGGAGAACTGCATTAAAACAGTGCTTTGTGATTATTTGGAAGATAAATAACGTGATAAAGATGGGCTGGAAAGAGAAGGGCAAATCAGGGCACGATTATAGTTACCTGGGCCTGATAAGTGCTAAATGCTGAGTTAGAATAGGGAAGGGACACATTCTAGAGACAATAGGAAGCAAGAGCCTGCTTTGTCTTGCCAGCCCTAAGGGACAGAAAGCAGTGGTTCGAATAATATAAAATAGTGACTAGCTCCAGTCGTCTTCCATTTGTCTTTAAAAAGTCCTAGATTTAGGGATAAGAAGGCACAACTGATATTAAAGCTACGGTTATATTCTTTGTAGAGAAGGTGTTCATTCAAATATGGAGCAGGCAATAATGAAAATCATTCTCAGATGTCAAACCATGCCCTGAATCTATAGTGTATTGCCTCAATATGCATTTCTTTCTCCTTGTACCTTGAATAACAGAGGAAGATAAGTGGCACATGTCTCTAGAAGGCCCTTCAGGAGAAGTCATGTGGGAATTCAGGACCCGGAGATAAATTGGTGGGAAACAAGTGTGTGTGTGTGTGTGTGTGTGTGTGTGTGTGTGTGTGTGTGTGTGTATGTCTGTGTATGCAAGCAAGCCTTTGTGTCCATAGATTCTGCAATCATGCTGTTTTGTGCCTGTCTTCCCTGCTGCTGCAGTGTCTGTGTCATAAGCAAAATAAAGGGCGATATGCTGAAGGAGTAAGGAAACTGATTGGGGGCATTGCCTCCCATCTGGACCAATGCCCGGAGAAGCTGAAAATGGCAATTTTGTTTAGTACCTTCATGGGAAAGGTGGCAATGACAGTATCCCAGAGCTATATCACTATATCTCTTCCTGCCTCTCCCATGTACCATCCTGGTAGGAAAAGGTAAAGAGTGTTAAGAGTTATGGGGGAAAAGGTCCAATTTCCTGTTCTATATACAGAGGAGGATGTCTTCTGATGGATACCAATGAGACAGGAAATATGCGGTACAGCCTTATGCAGCTGTATGACTGTTAGTATCACCACATCTTAAGGAATGAGGCCTGCCAACTAATATCTGCACAGACTTTGCAAGTTCAGTTGCCAGGGACCACTGGGATATTAAATGTTTCTTCACTCTCCCCAACATAAGAAAACAGTAAGGCCTCCTTAAAGACCCCTGTGGTTTATTTGTGGCAATCTCAAAGGGTTGATATATTTAAAATAAGTGATGCATAAAAAGTTTTACTTTCAAATATCCAGAGTTGTGGCTGGGTAGCTGCCCTGGCCAAACTAGAGGCAAAATACTATAACAGGTTGTCGAACTGAGAACACCCAGGATAAGAAGAGGGGGAAAGAGGAAGGAACTATAAAAAGCGGTGAGGTTAAGGGAAAGAGTTACAGGTCTTACTCAGTGTTATTTCTTTAAACTAAAAGAAATCTAGTATCAAATTATTATTATTATTAATTAGCGGTAGTAGTAAGTAGTCCCATGTGAGAGGCAGCTCAGCATAGTATAAAACCACTGGCTTGACCAAGGGTTCAAAGTAGAGTTTTGCCATTTATTGTCTCTGTGACATGGGTAAGTCATTGAGCTTATTTGAGCTTCCCTTTCTCACCTTTAAAAAGGGTGCTTACTGCTTATTTGCTTGCGGATTCAATGTCTTTACAAAGGTAAAACCTTTAGAGGGTGCCTACTCACAGCAAACACTCCATAAATGTTACCTATCGCTGATTTTTTTGTATTGTGGTTATTATTGCAGTTGTCAAAAGGGTACGTTGAGATAAAATATATAAAATAACTCACTACTATTGCTACCATACAACTGGTACTCAAAAAAGTGGCAGTCTCCTTCATTGCTTTAACTTTCCAGGAAAACCCTACTCCAACAGTTATTTGTTCTCCCATAGCTTTGAGAAATATATGAACTTGGTTTGATTCTCAATTCTGAGCATGTCACTGCATAAGTAAGAATTAAGTAAGTACAGTGTTCCCAATATGGAACACACAGTATTAAGACTTCAAAAGAGGTAAGTCCTTGAACTTGGCAAGCAATCATGTACTTTGAACAGAGCTTCTTAACAAATATTTGTATCCAAAGGCCAGATATGAGTTTCCGTCACCTTGCCTATGAAGAAGAAAAAGATGTGTCACCTGGCCCAGATCACCATCCCTGGGTGGGCAGAATCGAGAGATCTGGAATGGCGTATGTCACTGCTAAGACCTTTGCAACAACAGTTAGATTAAATCAAAGCTAGATTTAAACACATCTATGGCCGGGACAAGTGACCAGGAGTGTGGGTATTCAAGGCGTTTTAAAGATCCTCTACCAGTGAGCTGTTACTGACTGAAGATGATTCTTTTGTTTTTGCTTTTGTTTCTTCATTTCCGAAAAAGGACTTGTAAATTCTCTTTCAAAAACAAAGATCTGTTTCTAAGAGATGAGAGGAATAATGCAAAAATTGCATGAATGCAGATGAAGTTGTTCCACTGAAAAATTGATCACTACAGCCAGACGATTTGCTGGAAGAACAAAATTCCTTAGTTATTACAACTTCAATACCTATATACAATGTAGCATTACAGAGAAGTACAAATAAAATTAACCCTTGTAGCAAGTTACATTATGAAACATAGCAACTTGTCCTTCTCACTCTCTACCACCAGACGTATGATAGATATTAGTGGGTTTTGTCTCCAGCACATAATTCCTGTTACCTCTCAATAGCCCCTGAGTTCCATCTGGGGGTGCACTGACCCTCTACTCCCTTACCTTAAAGCCAATGATAGTTTATGAGTAGAAATATGACATAAGCTAATCTAATCAGCTGTGATCTCAGGGTGCTCACTGGGAGTGCTGGGACAAAACTGTGGAAATTTCTATGGTGATATTTGAGGGAATGCAAAACAATGGCTTGATTAAAATAGCCCATGAAAGAGGACTATGCCAAGAGAAATATAGGGAAAACAGAGCAGGAGTCCCTGTGACATTGGGAACATCTGGATCAAACTACACCTGAACTCCATGTACTGTAGGACTTTTCAATTACATATGTCAGCAAATTCTCTTTTTTGCTTAACCTCGCTAGACTTTTCCCTTCTTATGTCAAATCCAAGGCATCACAACTGAGACAGGTCCAAGAGATCAGTCCCAAAAGAAAACTCGAATATGGATGGATAAAAATCATCTACCCAGAATAAATGCAACAAATCTGTTTCATTGATCTCATCAATTCTACTTTCCAAACTACAGCGCTATACAGAAAACAACAGGAATTACACCATTGCGCATTCAGAAACTCATTTTCTTATGCCATATTTCCATTTTTATTAAACAATCTGCCTATAATTACTTTTAACACCTTTCTTCTGGAGGCATATGCTTAGTAATTATTTTACAATATTGTTGTAAGAAAATCTCTTATCTTTTTACAAATAATAGCTTGAGTATTTCCATGTGCCAAGCACTTTGCTAAAAGTTCTATGTGAATTATTTCAATTCTAACTCACTACAATCCTGCATTATAATCATGCTTATGTCACACATAAGAAAGTTGAGGTTCAGAATTATAAATAAATTGCCTGAAACCACAGATCTAAGAGGTAACAGAGCTTTTACTAGTCTGCCTTCCATGTCTGTGCTGTTATGTCATTCATCAACCTTGTGGACTCATGGGGTGTTCTAAATAAGAGACAGGCACAGTGCCTGACATACAGTTAGTACTCAGTATATGGCATTTATTAGTATTACTTATGGGACTATGCTCTGGGAGATATAATTTCATTTTAAAATCTTTAGTATATGAATCTGAGAAAAAGTAAAGTGTTCCTTTTTATCTAACAAATAAGTCCTTGATGATTTACTCGGCCCTGAACTACTCACCCTTTCTTTCAGGTGAGTATCTGTGCATATTTGCAGGGAAGTCTAGATACAGTTTCAGTGCCAGCCCTGGGAAAAAAAGGAAACATCTGGGTGCCAGCACCCACTGGCTGCCTGAAATCCATCTGTGATGCTCAAAATTCTTAGTATTTCCTCTCAATAAACACCTAGGGGATACGCTGGGCCTCATCCCTGGCTGGACTGAAAGGCCCAGAGGAACCTTACAATGAACAGTAGACAGAGAGAGATGGGACTGAAGGCTTTAATACAGACAGAGTCTCTGTCCCTTCTTGGCTTCAGTGAACAGCAGAAGGGTTGGACCTGAAGTGATGGCGCTGTGCCGGCAAAGCACTTTGGCACATGCCGGGATATGAAAGGCTCTAATGAGACCCATTTCACAATTCACTGGCCACGTGCATTAAGCAGGCAAAGATTTCTTCTTAACATCCCTGTAATATATCCTATGGCTCAGGTCTGCGACACGGTCCCGCAACAGCCCAGTAAACCAGATCTTACTATCCTCTCACTCATCTTCCCTTGGCAGGAAAGTAAGCTAAAGGAGAGGCAGCAGCATAGCTATAAAGAGACAGGAGGCATTTCCAACTGCAGATCTCTCTCGGGGTCTACAGGAACCTTCCAGAGACCTGCAATGCATGCTAATCCTTCCACTGGTTAAGAGAGTGGGCTCACTCATAGTAAAGTCATTGTTCTTTCTAATTGTCAGAGACTGCTGCTCTGCACTTGCCTGGAGCGATTCAATTAACATATCGCCACAACACCAACCATTATAATATGTTCTGTGTCCTACCAACAAGGGAAAGCCCCAACCCTGCTTCCATCCACAGCTTCCGTTTAATTAGGTCTTTAATACGTAAACAGACGGGGGAAAACAGAAACCCGGATAGAAGACTATATGTCTGACTCGCATTCTGTCTAAAAGCGACCTTTTGGAGTTGGAATTTTTTGTTGTTAATAGGGAATGGTAGAGGGACTTGAGAACAAAAGAAAGGACAGAGGGAGGAGAAAAGGGATGGGGAGGACTAAGGATGAAGGCGGATAGGGATGGATGCAGAGAGGGTGAGAAAGAGAGGGAAAGGCTGCTTGCTGCTTTGGGGAATTGAAAAACATGTAACTTCTGCTGGAAACTATTGCCATGGCAACGTTCAAAACAATACAGAGAAAGCCTTCACAGTTCCATTCTTGCCTTCCTGCACACCACTGTGTAGATGTTAACTCTTTTAGGGTGGCTTCTGACTTTTTGCCTTTTCAGTTAGTAAAAATCGGAGTCCTCTAGATCCCTCCCCATAATGTGTTTGAATTCATTCATCCACACACGTGCTGTGGTCTCTGCTGAGGTGAGCCTCTCTAGAGATCAGCTAACTAAGCTATGGGCATTCTTTCTGCCCAGATTAGAACAGCTGCGCCAGGATGAGCTCTCTCCCCGCAAACTCTTTCTCAATCTCTCTCTCTCTTTCCCCTAAGGTTGTAAAAATCGGCACACTCTGAGATTTGGCTCAGGTTCAACTGTAAAATCATTCAGGAGAGGCACATCTCTACATTTTCAAGTGTCATGCACCTTTTTCAGAACATTCATATCTTAGTTATTGAAGTTCCCACCATCATTATCAAACCATTAGTTGAAAGAAAACATGTCCATTGCCCTGAAATTAAATTCCTTAGTACTACAGTTCTTTAGATTAATAACAAACAAAAATGATCAGCTGCACGGACAATAAGATGTCTTTTAAAGCATCACAAATAAATCTGTCAACTTGTTCTAGGCAGGACCACATCGATGATAACAGGTTATTTTAATAATTAGGGAACTGTATTAGTTATCATCAGAAAAAGGCTTTCTTTTTTAAAAATCTGTGGACCCCCACTCCCACACACACACTCCTACTTTAGCAACAAATAAACACATATAATTGGATAGCTAAATTCTCCTACATTCCCAATGTGACTTGGTCAAAATTGATGAGCTAAAGCAAATGGATCCCTCCCAAGAAGTTGTCTTGGGAGGTTGCCTACAAGTGTCATCTCAACAGTTTGTAGTTTGACAAGAACTAAGACAAAACTCATCACTGGCTCTTCTAAATAAATCTTTCGCACTTTTGGAGGCCGAGGCTGGTGGATCACCTGAAGACGGGAGTTTGAGATCAGCCTGGCCAACATGGTGAAACCCTGTCTCTAAAATACAAAAATTAGCTGGACATGGTGGCATGTGCCTGTAATCCCAGTTACTCGGGAGGCTGAGGCAGGAGAATCGCTTGAATCTGGGAGGTGGAGGTTGCAGTAAGCCGAGATCGCACCACTGCACTCCAGCCTGGGTGACAGAGTGAGACTCCATCTCAAAAACAAAACAAAACAAAACAACAAAAAAACCCCAAAAACTTCCCTGGCATACCTTCCCAAATCCTCACGCTTTATCATAAGGAATGTAGTGGTCAGGAAATAATCCCTTTGGCAGTTCTGGGGCTAAAATTTGTTGAAAGGATTAAAAGAAATCACTGGATTTCAAAAGCAGGATGAAGCATGACTATTAGTGCTTTATCATCTGCTATTATTAGAGATTAATAATATTAATCTCTAAACTGGAAATAATCTAAAACTAGAAGAAAAACTTTAAAAAAGAACTATTAATGTAAAAACACAAATACTCCAGTTCAACATATTTAAGACATTTCTCTTCAAAATTGCAAGATAAAATTAAGCCATAATTAAATAATATCCTATCATTTACCACTTTCCTTCATGTGATCCAGTGTTTTCTGCTGCTCCTCAGGAGAGAAAGGAGGAAATAACCTTCTGTAGCATGGAGTCAAATTATTATATCCATGAATGTATGTATGCCTGGCTCCCACAAAGCCAGGTGTTCACATGTTGTCAAAAACGATTGCAGCTCATGATTTTCTATATTTAATGAAGGTACTTTTATTAGGGAGATATTTTTTAATCTCTTGTTATATTAGTCCATTTATGGACATTACTCAAACTTAAAATTTACATTCTCTTCTTTGATAATCATTCATGAGTAGGAAGGCCTGCTTCATACAACTGTGAGGCATGTGCAATGCACAACTGCAAGGACCACCTTGATTTTTGTGACCAGCAGACTTCACGAACAACGTCAGTGAGGACTGTACATTACCACACCTACAGTAAGCCTATGAGAAGCTATGCATTGGAATATTAAATTAGCACTAAAATATATTTAAAGAACTATTTTTAAAAATGAGATCCTCAAGAACAGCTATTATCAATATTTCAAAAAGCCAACTAGATTTCATACACATACCCATGTACTTGCACAAGGTAATTAAATCACCTTTGCTTTTGGCTCAATTTATATAAAATCATTTGATTTAAATGTTCATCTAGTGCACTTCAAAAAATGATAACTGCCAGGTACATGTTGTCTATTAGTAAAAGTAAAAAAAAAATTGCAATGTTTTATTATGCAAAGTAGTTATGAAAAATGGGTCCCTACAGGAAAAATAATAAAACTTAATCTTAACAATAAGAATATTGGGAAAATAATGGCCTATATCACTAACTGAATTAAAGAAATTTCTTTACCTTAAAGATGTGTTAGATCAGGCCACTCATTTATTAGTTCTCCCCAGATACACTGAAAATCTCTATGCACTATGTTAGTTAGATGTGGGAGATGACAAGAAGAATAAGATGAGGTCCATATTCTTTTTTTTTTTTTTTTTTTTTTTTTTTTGAGACGGAGTTTCACTCTCGTTACCCAGGCTGGAGTGCAATGGCGTGATTTCGGCTCACCACAACCTCTGCCTCCTGGGTTCAAGAGATTCTCCTGCCTCAGCCTCCTGAGTTGCTGGGACTATAGGCACGTGCCACCACACCCGGTTCATTTTGCATATTTAGTAGAGACAGATTTCTCCATGTTGGTCAGGCTGGTCTTGAACTCCCAACCTCAGTTGATCCACCCGTCTTAGCCTCCCAAAGTGCTGGGATTACAGGTGTGAGCCACCACACCCAGTCAATGGGATCCACATTCTAAAAGAAGCCACAATTTACTGGGTTTTTGCCAAATACATATAACAATAGTAAGAGCTATCACAAATATATGAACAAAATGTTTGTGTACAGAGGACAGGGAGATCAGTGGGCTTAGGGGAGCTGGGAAAGATGTTCCCAAAGGAGGTAACTTGCTCTGAGACTTGACATATGAAGATCATATCCTAGGTAAATGGATTAGCTCTCCCCAAGTTTGCGTTCAAACTAGGCTGGCATGTCCCCAGAGGACTAAAACATTTAGCATGGCAGGCAGATGGGAGAGGGCATGAATAGGCTGGCTGGCCTGTGCTGTTGAGAAGAGTCTGGATTTCATTCTAAAAACATATTTCAAGAATATAAAGAGGATGTTCAGCATTACTTGTTGGATGATATATCTAGAGGAAGAACGAGTAATAGACTATCTGAGGAAGACTGTGCTGTTGAGAAGAGTCTGGATTTTATTCTAAAAACATATTTCAAGAATATAAAGAGGATGTTCAGCATTACTTGTTGGATGATATATCTAGAGGAAGAACGAGTAATAGACTATCTGAGGAAAAATTGGCATTATCAGAAAGACTAGTTAGAGACAATCTAGGAGAGAAACGCTAGAATCTGGACCAAGGCCATAGCGAGATAGACCAAAGCTGACTTTAAGATAGTGAGTAGATTGGATTTGATGACTGGTTGGATAGGAGGGATGTTAAAGAGATACTGACATCATTTAAAACTGTAAATATCCAAGTTTTTATTTTTTCTAAGTGAGGATTAAGGAGTTAAAAAAAATATGTTATGTTTTCAGCACAGTGCCTGGTGCATATCTAGGTTTCTGGAGAAAAAATAACCAGTTATAGATGGAGTATTAAGTTTGCAAGGCTTGTAGGAGACTCAGGTAATTAAGTGCGATCTTGCTGGCAATGGACACTTATGTAGGGTTTGGTACTATCAGTGGTTTCGGGCATCCACTGGGGATCATGGAATGTATCTCCTCCACCAACAAGAGGCACTACTGTAATTTAATAAAAACAGTAGTAACCACCATTTCTTGAGCATTTGATATGCACCAGGCACTGTACTGAAAATATAACATGTATTTTTTTCCTTAATCCTCACTTAGAAAACAGAAACAGCATACACAGGTTAGCCAGGATTTGAGATTCCTCTCTCAAAAAACCCCCAGCTTATGTCTTTCAGGAATGCAGAGAGACTGGGAGTAGAAGTGACTCAAAGGGGGAAGCCCTCATTATTTAAGGAGAAGATTAGGAAAACAGAAGGAGGATAAAGTGATATCAATAAAGTGATCAATGAGGAGTGCCTCAAGCCCTTGGAAGAGTTTCAGGAAACCAGAGGCAGGTGATGGGATCGTATTACAGAGAGATCAAACACAAGAAGGACTAACATCAGGTGTTGGGTCCCCACAATGAGGACCTCATCTGGTTTACAGCACATCGTATCTAAACTCTAACCTTACTATTAGCATTGACCATATTTCTCATATAATTATAAATTTCTAGATGCCTTATAACATTTTGCAAAATCTTTCTCTCCATTAGATATGTTCAGTGAGTTGGGACAATTTTGCCTAAGTCTTTCTTAGAAGTCACTTCTATACTTAAGGGCATACTTGGAAATGACTGAGGACTGACAAATATACGGAAGGTATATGTGACCTAAGCAGCTGGAGAACTTTCATTTCAGGAAATAGGGGAAAGGGAAACTGCAGACATCTCAAGCCCAGTGAAAACATTCAGATTGAGTACCTGGTTACATAATAGTGAACTGCTATGTTTATTTGTTACCAAGTCAACAAGTTTGACTTTACTGATTCTGATTTTGGGTTCTCAAGTCAGCAGATACGCAGTTCCTATTCCCAGCCTCACCATTTAGTTGCTATACAACCTTAGACAAATCACTTAGCCTCTTTGTGTTTCTGTTTTCAAGTGAGGATTAAAGAAAAAAAAATACTTGTTATATTTTCAGTACAGTGCCTGGTGCATATCAAATGCTCAAGAAATGGTGGTAACTACTGTTTTTATTAACTTACAGTAGTGCCTCCTTTTTGGTAGAGGAGATACATTCCGTGATCCCAAGTGGATGCCTGAAAACACTGATAGTACCAAACCCTACATAAACTATCATTTTTCCTGTAAAGATGTATGTATGACAAAGTTTAATTTATGCATTAGGCACAGTAAAAATTAACAACAATTATAACAACATACTGTAATAGAAGTATGTGAATGTAGTCTCTTTCTCTTAAAATCTCTGCTCGGTTGACCACAGGTAACTGACACCACCAGAAGTGAAACTGCAGATAAGAAGGGACTACTAGATACTTGTAAACCCGGGAAGTGTTGAAAGCTTTCCTAAGTGCAGAAAGCTCTCATAAGCCTGTGGCAAAGTTGAAAGAAAAGTACATTAACTTTACATAAGTTTTTCATTATTTTTAGACTTCATTATGAATTTGATTGACATTGAAAACCATGATCAAAAATAACATCACCAACTTGGATAGCAAAGTTGGCAGGAAATCTTTATTTATATGCTCCATAAAAGTAAAGCAAAACACTCACAGAATCTTAAATGTTAAATCTTCCCATTTCTGTTTTAAATAACCAAAGATTTCAAAGAAAAGAAAGTGGGCTAGCAATTATTGAGTGCCAGTCATGTGCCAAATACTTAAGACATTTTATTGCTCCCAAAATAACTGCAAAAAATAAAGTCAATTTTACAATTGAGGAAACCGAGGATTAACAAGGTTAATTGACAAATTTAGGGGCCCCAGCTAACAGGTGATGAAACAAAGTTGAAATCCAAGGTTTGTCTATTCCAAATCTTGAAGTAGTTCCCCTACAAACTGAGCATTTCCTTCACCTTTTTACCCACATATCTGCCATTTTAACACAATTCTGCCTTTCTCACTGAATACTATGGGATTCTTCTCCACATTTTAATAACTAGTTTCCTAAGAACAATAATTATATATTTTTAATTTTGGGAATACTAAATTCCAAGGTAGTCAATTATGAACTCAGGATCCTAAAATCTTAGTGCTTGAAGTAACCTTAGTTTTTACTTGATCTAACAGAAGAGAATATAGAACCTAGAGAGGTAAGTTGAATTGTACAAAATGTCACAATTCATTAATGACAACACCAAGAATAAGAAATACACACTGCATCACATGACTTTCAGACCTCAGGTTTTCCAACATAAGGAAGCAACTTAATGTCACTGTATGTGTGTGTGTGTGTGTGTGTGTGTGTGTGTGTGTGTATTCCATCAGTATACTCGTTGGCTTTTGTTACTAAGCTTCTATAAATTCCCCAAAGCCAGGCTTCTGGTATATATGTGCGTGCCTGCGTGTGTTTGCATACACTCTTGTATGTGCATGCATTTGAGTTATTTAGAGGAGGTGTTTCTCAGACGAAGTTCATTCAAGCAGTATTTATTGCATGCATACTACTTGCCAGCCATTCTTCTGAGGTGCTGAGGACATAACAAAACCTTTGCATTCAGAAAGTGTTATAAGCACAGTGTCTCAGCCACAAGATCAGCCTAATTAAATTTCAATGGTCAAATTAATATTTCTCCACAAAAATTATTTTGAAGAAATGAAAGATGCAACTGATTCTTGACCTTCTTAGGGAATCTTCTAAGATACCATTTACAGATCATTCATGTTTTTATGCCTGTATTATAAAGTATGTGACATTCTAACCAAAGTTTATATGACACAGAATATATTTTCCACAATTCACAAAGTATATTTCAATCTTTACTGACGAAATGGCATTCACTAAGGCACTTCTATATATGTTTTAAAATGGCAGGACCTTACCAAAAATGGTCATATCTATTTATATGTTACTCCAACCTTAATCTTGTCTATATATTTCTTCTTTCTTAGTCTATGCCAATGTGAACTTAGAGTAACAGCTTCCCTCCAACAGAGTCCATATCTGTTTTTCTGCAAATCTAAACTAAAATCATAGATGATCCATTTAAATGTGCATTTATTGAATGCTTGCTGTGCGTGGCATATGCAATCTGATCTCATCCTCACGGCAGACAGTTCCATGCAGTTGTTATTACCTCTATTTTACAGATAAGCAAACAGGCTCAGAGAGGTTAAATGATGCATGTAACACACGTGGCCCAGTGGGAAGCTGAGTATTTGAATTCACTTAAGATGCTAGAGTCCAAGTTTCACCTAATTTCTTATTCATCTTTAGGAAGCATGCAAAAAAGTAAAATTTATCAAATGGTAAGAACTTTCATAGAGAATTTCCATCTTTTCTTAAGGTCAGTGAAAATGGTGAACTTTCAAATGCTTTTGCAATATTCACACAGATTTCAAATTGTTTTCATTGAAAAGAAACATAAGAATCCAATGGTTATCTCCCAAGCCTAACTGTACTATTATCATCCACAGATGAGACATTAAGAATAACAATTACTACAGTAGAACTCCTTTTCTCTTAAGGGGAAAACAGGTCCCTAGAAGAATATTAAGGAAATGGACAGAAAACAGGGCTGCTGCTGTAGAGAATGAAATTATGAGCAATGACCATGACTGCCTGCCTCAGAAAACCACTGGTGTGGGAAGATTTGCACGTGTAAACAATGACGTGTGTGTCTGCATTAAATCTTCCTCATTCTATATATTCTAATGAGTCTTTAGCCTATAACAAAGTAAAGATTTTGTTTAATGAACACAGCATTCATTTTGACTAGAATTGTGAATCCAAATTGTGGTTTTGGAGGGCTTAATATTAGTAATGGAATTTTATACCATATAATTTAAATTATGTAACTGCATAGACATTTGCCTTTATTTTGTACATCCAGGTCCAGACTATGTAATATGTGGCTAAAATGACACACTTAAAATACCAGAAATCTCTTATTCAACTTTTAGACCAAAAACACACACAGCACATTAATTGCATTATTTCCCTGTAAAATTTCATTTAAATATTATTTTTGCTGAGATTTATTTTTCTATACTCTTAGAAGAAAGTCATAATGCACAGTTTCTAGTATGAGGCAGCACTTTATATCTAAAATAATATATTGAGCCAATCTGTCCTGATAAGACCTCAAATGAGGATCCTGGCAACCACTGTAAGGTCAGTTGCACACTCCCTATTTTACATGTATTGGTGCTCGAACTGTTAAAGTGCTTAGCCAGATTGTTATTCATTCTCAGGAAATTAATACACGTTAATCCAAGTATAACCATAACAAACAGCCATCCTTAGAGGGCCTATTATGCTTGCAGCTTTGCATAACACTCCTTTTAAGTCATAAAACAATTCAAAAATTACATATTATAATTCCCACCTCATAGACTAGACAATTGAGAGCCAGGGAAATTAAAAGTATTGTTCAAAGGGCACAGCTACTACATTTGAGGAAGAAGATATTTGAAAACGTAACTTTAAAACTTGTAAAACCCAGTAGCTTTCTGGGCATAGGGTCCTCGGCAGATTCTGGTGGACAACTGCTTACTCACAAATGTCTTTCAGTGGGCACCAACCTGGGCCCTGACACCCACTGATGAAGTAAGTTTCCAGCTCTGTCATGGCCCTAATTCTTTGAAAAGTACATGAACAAATGCAGTGCTTCTTAACCAATCAGTTTAAAACAAATCAGTACTTAACCAAAATGCAGGGCCAACTCTGACTACTAAACCAAAGGTGTTAACCCCCAGGTGGGCCATAGGTTCCTAACAGTAGAGTTGCTGAAATGATTTGCCAGTATGAAAGATGATGACACCTTAGATGCCCCATTAACTCCAGATTTGCAAATGTTTAAGTGGAGGGGATGGGAGGACACATTTCAGACCAAAATTTTAAACAGATTCTCTCTCTTCACTTCTTTCCCTTTCTCTCTCTTAGGAAAGTTGCATGTATACATTAAGTGTGGAGGGCACAGGGAGGAGGTGACACTATCAAGGAGAGGAATGTGCTTTCAGACCTAATTAGAGCAGCACTGAAGAAATTTTGATGTCAACAAAAGATATATATATATATGTAGAAAATAAAATCTCCTCCAATTGGCAGACCCAACCTAGTTTCAAGGCTGGGGTTCCCATGTGAAGCCAGGAACTCAACTATAAAGTGAAAAAGCATCAAGTACATGTTTTTCCTCTTACTTTCTTTGTCATTGTGCTAAATTCCAGCTGAGCAGGAACTTAATATAACTTGAGTCATTCCATGTCTACAAATGCTGACTTAACTGTGGTAACGTAAAACAAAGCAAATAAGCAAACGAATGCAAAAAAAGTGCAGAGAACTATGAAAATATATGCACAAGCCTATGGGGATTTCAGGGAATAAAACCATCTTGCACAATTATTTTCATAGGTTGGTAAATTTATTGCCTGATCTGTGTTCCAACAGGAAACATGTGCCCAGAAAAATAAATTAGAGAAGTGCTCAGCTGTAGGCTAGTTTAGTTAAGGAGTAATGAAAAGGATAAGAATAGATGATGTGAGTGTAAGAACAGGCTCAGATGCTTTCAGCTGTGTGTTTCTGGTTTATATTATCACCTCTCTAATATAAATCTAACTCTACAGTTCTTTAATGACTCTCTGGGGACCACCACTCACAGGATTAAACACTAAGAAGGGACCCAGGAGAGTGCTGCCTTTCATCTCCTTTGGGATATGTCAGAGTTGTCGATCTTATTTTTTTTTAAATGGTATTCAAGCCAAGGTTACCTAAACTATGCTATAGAAAGGAAAAGAGGAAAGGAAGAGGGAGAGAGGGAGGAAGGGAAGAGAGAAAATGAATGTTGGAGTTTGTAACCCTGGAGGTCTAAACTGGCAGAAGTTTTATTTCAAGCTCTCAGGACCAATGTGCCTTCCTTTGACCCTTACTCATAAAACGGCATCCAAAATACAGGAGTAGCCAGGCTATGTATACCTGTCCAGTTTGGATCCCAAACTGACTTTTGCCTGGCGTTCTGAGGCTTGTGTGAGTCACCTGTCTCATGCTGTTTGGCCATTAATGAAAGAGTTATAGCTTCTCTAGGCCTCAGTTTCCTTTTTTTATTGACTTGAGATCTCTGGAGAGTCTTCTGGCTCGAAAGTTATATGAGTCTATGATTCTGATAGAAGGCCCCAGAGAGGAATAGCGAAGGGGGAAGGGGAAAAGTTCTGTAAAAAAGGCCAGCTCCATGACTTTGGCAGCTATAGGGGAGGAGGGAAGGTGATCCTACAGGCGCTCAGACTTTCTAAGCATTTTCCACCTTCTGCTTTATTTTTTATATTGGCCTCTTTTTCCAAGACAAAGCTGGCACATGAGAAGTATTAGTGCTCAACACAACCTCTTCTTCAGCTGCTTTTTCTAAGTTACCACAGGACACTAGATTTCTTTCTTTTTCTGAGGAGCTGTGAACTGGTGATGTTGGAAAGGTTTCTGGCAAAACCCAAGCCACTGCTCTACAGTCTATACACAGCCTCTCTGTAATCCAAAGAAGTCCTCAGTTAGAAGGGGGTGGAGTTGGAGAGAAGTAGGTCCTCCTTGTTTCATTTTTAGCACTGGTGTGAACCCGGGTAATCTGAAGACCACATCTGGGCATATGTATGCAAGAGTGATTGTGGAAAGTACAGCCACTTCTCTCCACCAGCTTCCTTGCCCAAAAACCCACCCTTTCTCCCTCCACCCACGCACCAGCCAGAAGCCACCCTTCATCGCCTTGGTTTATTGTCATATTTTTGTGTTAATACATTCTGTTGATCTGCAATGTCAGGTTGGATAATGAAATTTAAATTGAGTCCCTTCGATTTCCAATAGCGAAACATTTGTGCATCTAACTCCGGGGCTGACAAACAACTTAAATGCATTCTGGAGTGTCAGTCACACAGCACTGGCACCCGACACTGCAGCGGCTTTCTTGGGGAGCTTTTTTTTTTTTTCCTGGTGAACATTTGCAAAGGCGTCTGCCCAGGATGCAGTCAACCTGCATCCTTATAGCAAACTGGCTTATCAGAGAGCAGAGACTGATGAAGCAAATGCGTGGGCCACCCATTCCCTTATTTTCTGGCCCCCAATAGCCAGTTCTTTAAAAAAAAACACCAAAGGGGGAGAGAGGATAAAGAGACCAAGAACACCAAATTAACTGACATTTTCTTCACCAATAAATAAGAAAATAAGGGTCACTCACTGTATTTCAGACTGATCACAGCAACATCCAGATGGAAATCCAGGTGGTTAAGAACAAGAGAAAACGCATGATCTTGATACCAAAAGGAATAAAAATTAAAAAAAAAGGAGGTTGATGAAGAAAAATCCAACTGCAATTATCCGTCAATTTTAGTCAACATAGGCACAAATCCAACTGTGCTCTGCTGGTTTCTCTCCCCCAATCAATGCCTCAATCTGCCGCGGTCAACTTTTCTTCTCTGAAATTTCTTTGCAGATGTATTATTAATTTCCTCTCCTCTTGTGGGAAATTCAAAAAGAAAAGAAAACACCACCACACCAGTTCTTTACTTTACTAAAAAAGCCCCAAACTTTTCATTCCAAAAATATCTCCTTGGCTCACTTTCTCCTTTATAGAGAAAAATGAACATACTTTTTTCTTTGTGAATCCTCGGTTCTTCATTTCCAATCATCCTTTTTTTTGGGGGGGGGGAGGGGAACAGCTGCTTTAAGATTATTTATTTATGTCAGAACACACCAACCCCCGCGGGTCTAACTCTGGTTTATTTCATTCTTGAATGCTCCCTGTGTGCACATATACACATTTGTGTTAAGATCCAGGGCTCACAAGAAAAAGCTTCGTTCTTCCTTCTCTCTTGCACAATCAGTTTATCCATTGCGTTCGGTTCCAGGAGAAAGCTGCGTCCTGCATCCTTCATTTTTGCAAGGCACCCAACAGCCACCACCACCAAAAAAAAAAGTCTCCTTTTACATGGTCAATTCCTCTCCCCAGCCTCCCCTTCGAAGAATTTGGGGAGCAACTTCCCCCCCACTCTCCATCCTTCCGGCCGGCCCCTTCGCCAAAGATCTGATTAGATTTCTCATCACAACCCAGTGCGCAATTGAATTTTTGATTTCAGCCACCCGGCCAGCCACCTTCCCCTCTCCCCTCCAAACTCCGGTTATATCCTGTCTCCTTCCCTCCACCGCCTCTGCAATTTCATAATCTCACGTTAAATGGAGTGCGGGGGGCGGGGGCGGGGGCGGGGGCGGAGGTAGTGGAGGAAAATTTCAAGGCTCCGTCAGCTGTCAAGAAGAAACCCATTCCTCCCCCCGCTACTTTTTTTTTTTCTTTTTAAGGCTCGGGGTGCCTTTCCTTCCTCTGTCCCCGCCCCCACCCCCAGCACCCGGTCCAGATCCTCCAGGTGTTGCAGAACTCCGCGGTCGGGGCCGGGATCACGGGGGAGACGCAGGATGCGGTCCCTCGCCGGTGGCCCCTGCCAGCCCCCGGGTCCCCTTCTCCTCCATCAGCCGGTAGTGGCTCCGGGAGCGCCGAGGTGATGGAAGTTGAGACTGGGGCTTTTATTTCAAATGGGGAGGGCGAAGTGAGGGGACAGACAGGGTGGTAGGCAAATTAAAAAAAACACACACGAAAAAAGAAAGAAAAAAAGAAAAAGAAGAAAAAAAGAAAAAGGAAGAAAACGGGTAAAAAAAAAATTCCCTAATCGCTGGCTCTTCTCATCCTTCTCAAATGCAACTGCAGCTTTGATCTCATTTCCAGCTGCGTTGGGTACATTTTGGAGCCACAAGTTGGTTCCCGTTGGCGCAGACCTTCCCGATGTCTGCTAGTCCTCTGCGAGGAGACGCGTTCTCGGGAGCGCAGCTGCTCCGCGCCGCCCTTAGCGCCATCGCCCTGGCTCACGGCTCCCTGCGCGGCAGAAACCCCAGTCCCCTTCCATCCACTTCGGTTTGAACTCTCTTCCTCCCCCTCCCTCTGCTCTCTCCCCTCTTTTTCTCCCAAATAAATGCTCTCCCAGCACCGGCGGCAGCTCTTGCCAGCCCAGGCTTTCTCTCGACCAATGCCACGTCCTGACGCTTAGGGTCCTAGCTTCCAAAAGCTCCTTTCGGACTGCAGTCGCCTTCCCTCCTCTGCCCCTCTTTCTTTCCCCTTTTCCTTTCCCTTTCTCTGCTTGTGATCAGTAAAATACAATTACCCAATTACCTCCCATCATCTTAGCACTGATTGGTCAATTGCATTAACACTTGAAGTCAGGGAAGAGGGGATTGGAGCTTCAGAGATGTGGCTCTGCTGCCACCTGGAGGGCAGAGCCAGAACAGCTGAGTCTAAAAGCAACCCCCACGCTGGGAGGTTCAGGCTGTGTGGGAGAAGTCAGTTTTTTCAAAAAGCTTGCCTGTTTTCATCCAGAAATCCAGGAGTTTTGAGCTACAAAGAGGAAGACATTAAAATCAAATCACCACTAAGATTCAAAATTATCACCAAACACACAAAGCTGTTGCTTTCAGGTTGCAGGTTAAGAGCCTCTCCCAGTCAAGCACACTGGTCCCAAGCTGAGGATTAACACAGTACTATTGCTTAGCCGGGCGCGGTGTCTCACGCCTGTAATCCCAGCCCTTTGGGAGGCCAAGGTGGGCGGATCATGAGGTCAGGAGATCGAGACCAACCTGCCCAACATTGTGAAACCCCGTCCCTACTAAAAATACAAAAATTAGCCGGGAGCGATGGCGCGCGTCTGTAATCCCAGCTACTCGGGAGACTGAGGCAGGATAATTGCTTGAACCCGGGAGACGGAGGTTGCAGTGAGCCGAGATTGGGCCATTGCACTCCAGCCTGGGAGACAAGAGCAAGACTCCGTCTCAAATAAATAATAAAAATAAATAAATAAAAAAAAAGAATAGGCTCATCAGAAAGAATCCAGAGTAGCTTAAAAGCTACTCGGGAGGGAGGCTGCGGTCGAGCAGGATAATCTTACCAGGAGGAAGCAACTGTAAAGGCGAGATAGTAGCCTTCAGCCTATGCAGTGTTGCAGTAAATTGGCCTGTTCAGTTTGTACAAGACATCCAGGACAGCTTGACAACTCAATTCCAACATCCCCTGCTCCAGGATGTGGACTTTTCCATTAACTCGTGTTAGAGAAATAGTTGGCACATTTCAAATTCACTGGGTCTCCTTAGAGGGACTGGGCCAACAAAATAATGCTATTAATATTATGTTTACATTGGTTTCTTTCTCCAATGTATAATTTTCATAAGGCCCTTTCAGTTAATCTATGGGCATTCACTTTATGTCATTTATGTATGTAACCTTGAGATAGGAATCAATAAAATTAGGAATGATAATTTAAACAGTACTATATATATATATATGGAATAGATTAAATAAATGTTCCTCTGTTTTGTATGCCCTAAGTGATGATCTTTGCACTGATTTTCTTTATTTTTGAGAGAACAGAATATGTACTTGGTTTAAAAACAGTTTTAAAGAAAGTGAGTAAATCATAACGGAAGGTAGCATCAAACAGAAAGGAGAAAAGATTTATTAAGAGAACATCAGAGACATATCTAAGTTTATACAAAATGCTATTTTTTTCCTCTTCTGTTCCCATTATACTCCACGGTATTTCCTTGTTTGAGTTAAAAAAATTTCATCTGTAATGTTCTTTGCATACTGAGAGCATGCTGTAACGTGCATCTCAGATGTCAGTACATGCAAGAGGAAAGACTTTTCCTTACACATGGATTGTGATTTATTGTAATTTCCCCATCTTTTTGGAGAGCTTTGATGTTATGAATTACATGAAAATGTGAATTTCTCGAGGGTTAATGGCATTGCTTCTATTTTTAAGTGAATGCTGTATTGATTGATTCAAAACACTAGTGGGCAGTTGACTTTAATTTGTGTTTTGAAGCTCTTACCCTTATATGCTAATTATAGTTTATCCACTAATAAACGATTAAAAAGTACATTCACTAGCTGCACTAGATAGCTTCAAAGGAGTCTATCCTCTGATTCTGAAGTAAGCTAGAAGCCATTTGAAATGAAAATTTTCTTTTTAGGGATTTTGACAGCAAAGGAAGGCCAATGATTTGTTTTTTTCAGAGCTGATTATTAGCTCTCTACCAGACATCTTTAATACTATCAGAATGAATTAATCTATTAGGCAAAGCAGCAGGGACAGGTAAGTGCTATTTGGCCAAAATGGAAAAAGGAACAGCTTCTCTTTCCTGTTAACCTTCCCCTTCAGCAGCTACAGTATCTTTACCCACATCATTGACTCATTCACACTATATGACCTTGAATTCGTCACATGGCTTTCATTTTTAGATTTAGATTGAACCAGTCATTATTGAGCATCCATATGGCATGGTTTTTTGTTACACTTTTCTCATATATATCACCTTATTTAGTACTCAAAACAACACCCTGAGAGATTTTGAAGATGGAAAAAATGAAGCTTAAAATCACAAACTTGGTAAATGACACAGCCAAAATTTGAACCCAGATCTACTCAATGCCAGTTCTTCCAGTTTTGCGATAACATTAAGGTTTTGGTAACATGGGGAACAGCTGTATATCAATTATCAGCATGCAGGCTGTCATTTTCTGCCCTGAATGCCAGGCATGAATTTGTAACCCTTTCAGAGGATGGCAATACCACATTTGTCACTGAATGACCTCACCCAAAAAGAATTGGAATAAGTAGTAAACAAGCTAACTGTCATGAAAGTACACATGCAAACCAAATTGTTGCTGAAAAAAAACATAATTATAGATATTTATGCAGTAGAGGTTGCCAGGTACTATTAACAATGACAGAGTATGTGTTCAAGTAAAAATTTCTATAAAAGCTCTTTCAGAAGAAATAATATTACACCACCACCCTTCCCATTAGCCCATCTAGTTACCAAAAGCATGGAGAGGACAAAATGCTTATTGAAATGACATGACTTGGGAGAAGAGGAGGCACAGTGCTAGCATGCTAGATTTGTTCTACGGACATGCAGATTTCTACTTTTGTTCTTCTCTGATTTGTAGATGTGAGACATTAAACAAAACTGTTATCTTATTTCACTGTATGTTCGTGACTATAGCTGGTGTAATCATTAGCAAACAGCAGGGGACAGCATCTTGTAATCAGAAATACAAAATAGCAAATAGAACAAATTCAGTAACTTTGCTTAAAAATAAAAAAGTGAATGTGTCTATTGTGTTTATTAATTGGATTTAACAAGCTGTAGGCAACTCTATTGAAGCACAATACATACTTAAAGTTTGTGTCTTTATGCTGTGTTATAAATCCTGGAAATAAATATTCTCTTTTCACTTCCAATAGTATTACATAGGGACCAGAATATCCTCCGGGATAATCGTATCAAGCTTGCCTGTATAGTCACACGTAATGACATGTGAATTAATTTCATTAAAACAACTTATTTTTTCAAAACTACTTTGAATTTAAAATTCAATACTCAGCAGGAGTTTACTAAACATGTTACATTAGATAATATTCTATAGATATTGTATTTTGGAACTAGATGATATCCTAATAATCCTCTATTCTTTATTTCTTGAAATATAGATAAAAGGTCCTAAAGTCCTAAATACTGATGTGCAAATTTCTGCTTTTTTTTCAAGGTCCCCCGCCGACCCATGATGGCTACTCCTCCACTCAGCCCTCATCCCATATAGTCTTATTTTTTGTTCTCTCATACTTTTTAACATTTGTTTTAATAACTAGCATTTAATGAAAGCTTGCGAGTGCCAAGCCTGTCTCTATGTATGTTACAGATTTCAACTCATGTAATCCTTCCAACAATCTTATGAAGTAGGTGCCATTGATGAAATTGGACTTGAGGTTAAATAAGGGAACCTAGCTAGGAAGTGATAGAGGCAAGATTGTAACTCAGGTTATTTCATCTCAGAGGTTGTGGTTATAATACATATTTCCTACTATTACTTATTGTGATGGATAGAAATGATTTGCTCATGTCTATGTCCCCCCCAACCTCCAAACCATAATTGATTTCACAAGAGCATTGTCTGTATTTCTAATGCTTTGTACACCGTTGAGTGAATAAACGTCTAAGATAATGCTCTTAGGAAATGGAAAGACCTACATTTTTTGGTCTCTTACCGACTATTCTTTTCACTGTGGTGCACAAAATTGTAAAAAGATGAGATACTTGTCATAATTATTAAAATAGAAAAGCTAAGAGAAGATGCCACCAAATAAGATGATTTCAGCAATGAAGTATAACTTTTGAATCAGTTAGCAATGAGTGCATAATAAACCATTTGAAATCTTAATAGCTGAAAACAACAATCATTTATTATTTCTCATGACTCTAAAGGCTGGTCAGAAATTGGTTAAGTGGCTCTTTTTGATCTTTTTGATCTAGTGGCTGAGTTAACTGCTTGCTGATCTAGAATGGTCTCAGCTATAGTCACTGGTGCAACTGGGCTCCACCCCACATGCATCTCTCTCTCTCTTCTTCAGCTTGGACCAAGCATATTTCTTGGCAATGGCAGAAATCCAATAGAGCAAGCAGAAGATCATGAGTACCTTTTCAGGCTTCTGTGTGAATAGTATCAGCTAACTTCCCACTGGCCAAAGAAAATCACTTAGTTGAGCCCATTGTCAGGGAATAGGGCAGGTCATTCCACCTTCAAGGGGAAGTGTATTAGTCTGTTTTCACATTGCTATAAAGATATACCCAAGACAGGCTAATTTATAAAGAAAATAGGTTTAATTGACTCACAGTTCCACATGGCTGGGGAGGCCTCAGGAAACTTACAATTATGGCAGAAGGGGAAGAAGCATGTCTTACATGGTGGCAGGTGGCAGAAAGCTAGCAAGAGCAGGGAAAACTGTCTTACAAAATCAGCAGATCTCCTGAGAACTCATTCACTATTTTGAAAAGAGCATGGGGGGAAATGCTCCCATGATGCAATCACCTCCCATGAGGTCCCTCCCCCAACACATGGCAATTACAATTTGGATTACAATTCAAGATGAGATTTGGGTGGGGATGCAGAGCCAGACCATATCAGGAGGTTACTGCAAAGTTGTATAAAACGAAAGCAAGTGGAGAATCAGAGTGATCATTGCAATCAACTACAACTTCTCTCCCTTATGAATAACAAAGGTCCTTAGTGATTACTGGGGTTTGCTGGAAAGAAAATGTCCACATTAGTGACCATCTAATCAGTCACTTATTTAAACATATGCATAATGATCCTCAATTACGTGCCAAGCATTATGGAAGTCATCACTAACTCCTCTGTCACCTTTACTTTCCTGATAGCACCTGTTGATGCTGTCTCAGGAATGGCTCACAGATGTGTGCCAAAGAGAGTGTACCTATTTCTCTTTATTACTTTAGAGAGACCACTATCAGATTCCTGCGTGGACTCTGCCACTCACCTTTCTTGTTACCCATTCTAGCTCCTCTCTAGTACCAGCTAGCTTGTGAAAAAGGAAAGTAGATGAGAGAAAAGTTTAAATGAACAAACATTAAAAGGAAAATCTGTTCCATATGTACAATGACAAGATACCACAACATTGAACAAAACTATTTGTAATGCATAGGAAAAGATTCATAGTTTAAATACAAAAATAGTTCTTGAAATAGCTAGCATGAATGGGAAAAATATTTGAAGAGCCAATTAAATGAAGAACTAGTTATTTTAACATGTATTGGGACCTATGTTGCTTAACACAGTGCCTGGTCCTTTGACCTCTTAATAAATTTTGATTGACTAGATGAATGAACTGTCCACTTGGTTGGGGGAAGAATGTGGATAGATAGTAGCTATGCTAATTACAATCAATGGTGAGATAATATGGTCAGAATTTTACAGAAGTGTAAAGAGCTGGGGATGGAAGACAGAGGAGACAGTAGCTACCTCAATGTGGGGCCAGACCAAGAGGATTTCACAAATAGAAACTGTATTAGGCTGTCCTTGCATTGCTATACCAAATACTTGACACTGGGTAATTGATAAGAAAACAGGTTGAATTGGCTCATGGTTCTGCTCTACAGGAAGCATGGTAGCATATGCTTCTGGGGAGGCCTCAGGGAGCTTCTACTCATGGTGGAAGGCAATGTGCGAGCATGGTGGGAGCAGGAGTAAGAGAGAGAGAAAGGGGAGGTGCTACTGACTTTTAAATGACAAGATTTCACAAGAACTCACTAACGTGAGGAGAGTACCAAAGGGGAGGTGCTAAACCATTCATGAGAAATCTGCCTACATGATCCAGTCATGTCCCTCCTGGCCCCACCTCCAACATTAGGGATTACAATTTGACATGAGACTCCACAGGGACACAGATCCAAACCATATCAGAAACGCTAATGTGTTCAAGGCTTCATGAACGTGGATGTAGTTGATGATTGCAGAATTGCCCATTTGGCAGCCAGAGGACAAAGAACAAAACGCATTCTAAGAAAAAATAATTTGTTACCCAAAGATTAACAGAGTTAAAGCTTAACTAACTTACAAACTCAGCTATGGTTGAAGTGATCAACTATTAGATGCCATGTACAGATCCAAAGAGTCCAGCTTTTGAAATACAGTCATTCCTCTGTATCTGTGGGCAATTGATTCCAGGATCCCAGCAGACTGCAAAATCTGAGGATGCTCGATCCCTTATATAAAATAGTACAGTATTTGCATGTAATCTGTGGATAGCCTCACATACATTTTAAATCGTATCTAGATTACTTACCTAATACAATCCTAATACAATGCCTACACATCACTTCATTCTTCAGGATTCAATGTAATACCCAGCACTTGGCAAATTCAAGGTTTGCTTTTTGAAATTCTGTGAAGTTTTTATTTCTTAAGAGGCAGAGTCTAGCTCTGTTGCTCAGGCTAGAATGCAGTGGTACAATCCTGGCTCACTACAGCCTGGAACTCCCGGGCTCAAGCGATTCTCTCACGTCAGTCTCCAGAAGAGCTAGGACAGGTGTGAGCACTGTACCAGGCTCTCTGGAAGGTTTCTGATCTGTGATTGGTTGAATCCACAGATGGGAAACCCACAGATATGGAGGGTTACCCATTGATAATCTTCCTAGGAGGATATCAATCACTAAAGAAGCTTGGGAAGGAAGGGCATTGGCGAAGGGGAGCATGTTGACAGACAATTCTCCCTTTTTCAGACCACATGAGGCAACATGACAAATTTGAGGAGTGACTTAAAGTAATAAGAAGAAAGCTGAAAGAAACAACGGTATGACAATTTGGCAACCACTTCTGAATGGCCTTCAACTCAGTTATCTTTTACATATCCTTTCTAAATAGTGACCCAATCACTTTAAAAACACAATCTCCTTTATTAAATGTTTCTAAGGGAGAAGGTATGTGTGCATAGATACTATGTGGTAGTATTTTTGTACTGTCTAAATTAGGAATCTTTGCACTGGGAAGAAAATTGCCCATAAAGGTATCTTTAAAACTTCACCAGGAATTAGGAGATGGTGTGAATCCAGTTGTGTAGTTTGGGAAGACAGCTGCATTTTATACAGCTAAATCAGCACTTGATACTAAACAATTCCTAAAGAATGTCACTTTATTTTAGCATCAGCCATGCAGTGCAGATTCAAGAAATGATAGCCTTGTTTTCCCCACCGCATTACTATTGTGCTTTCAGAAGATGAAGGCATAGACAGTGCAGATTCAAGAAATGATAGCCTTGTTTTCCCCACCACATTACTATTGTGCTTTCAGAAGATGAAGGCATAGATTTCAAAACTGAGTTCTCTTCACATTGAAGATTCATTTAGCACATCTGTGGTTCCAGGCCTCCAGCTGATTTAGTCACTCGTGATTGAAATAATGTTAAACAATTTGCATTTTTAAATGTCCAGGTCTCTAATATACACACTTTTAAGAGACAAAAATGACTCTCTAAGGGTTGCTGTAGACTTATGAAAAAATCATTTATGATATTGACACCGAAATGGAGACACCTTTATCACCTGAATAAAATAATGCCTTGAAAAATGAAAATAAGTATGTATAAAGAAATAAAGACTTTCAAAATGGAAGGGGCTTAGGAATCCTTTGATTCACTATACATATCTACCTAATCCATCAAAAACTGTGTTAGTTTTATAGGGGCAATAAGAGATAAAATAAATATGCTTGTGGCTAATAAAGACTGTGAGGTATGTCCCAGATTTGTGGTCTCCTTGCATGGAGTGAACACAGGGTGACTGTTACGTGAGTGAGTGTTTGACATTTTATCACAACCTTCAATTGACAATCTTGAAAAGGATTTCTAGTGAAATTTTAAGAATATTTATGGAAGTTCGCATTTTCACTAGGATAACAATTATGTCACATTGAATTTCAATTTTTTACTTTAATTCTTATGAACGTTTCCACAATTTTTTGTTATTGTTCTTATTTATTTTAGGGGTTCCATTAAAAAGGCCACAGGGATTTTTCACTGCTCATACTGTCAATTGTGTTTCTTTGACCTCTATGGGTAAAGAATGGTAAAATTACGATTATCAGAACAAAGTTTCTTTGAAGAGGCCCATCCTTCTTTTCTGTCTTTTTTTTTATTCCTTTATAATAGCCCAAGGCCTGAACCTTAAGCAGTTCCCTTCTCCAGAAAGAATGATACTAAATACAATAATTTGTACATAGGTGCTAACACTTTAGTACTATCCAATTCAATCCATTTATGTATTGAACGAGCAAATATTTATTGAATATCAATTTCAGTGGGTTCTGTATATACTATGACTTAGCAATGCTTTAGTAACTTTTCATCATTTCCCAGACACACTTATATTTTTGTAAAAGATTACTGTATATTTAGAAAGGGTGTATGCTTGATCCAAGAAAACAGCATGGAGTCGAGCCAAGAACAGCAAGTCTGGAATTTCATAGACCTCAGTCTGAATCTGACATTCATTGTTTGTGCTTTAGGAGAACTGCAAATACTTTAAGGCTGGAACTTAAGGGAAATGTGTGGCAGGGAAGAAGATAAAATGCCAAGAAATGAACCTCCATATAACAGCCACATCAAGAATTATTATTTTTTTCTTTTTGGGGAGTTTTTTCGAACGGTAAAGGAACATCACTGAGGGCTAATAAGAAGTGACATGATAAGTTTGGGGTCTACAAAAGTTATCCCAGAGGCAGTATGCAGATGAATCAGAGAAGAACAACGGAAAACCAGAGAGAAATTGGGAAACTTGGAGGTTACGAGGATCTAAACAAAGGCAGAAGATCTGGAGTTGGAGAGAGAAGGGTGGGTATAAGAAATGTCAAGGGTTAGAATCTACAAAGTTTTATTAATTTGCGTATTTGTTTGTGTATGTGTGTGAGTGTGTGCATGTGAGATATTCTATTTGGAGGCCATGCATAACTCTCAATCAATATAATGAAGTACTCCCTCAAAATAATGCTCTATGAACATGGGATGGGCTTCCTTATAAGGGTGATTTTCCTGCCACTGGAGTAGCTCAATCATAGGCTGCACGTTGTGGTTAGGCCTTTAAGGCAAGCTTATATTAGATTAGCAGTTCCTAAACATTGTCCCTGCTTAAATTTCCACTGGAGCTATATGAGAAGAGTAAGGGCATTATAGTGGGATTGTCCTATTAATTACTTGAATTTAAAGCAAGAGTCTTCAATTTGTGATTAATTCTTATAATTTTACAATTAAAACATTTTTTTTCTTTTATTTAGTTTTGTTTTAAAATGCAAATATCTGACAAAAGAAAACTTGAAAGCACCATACTGGGCCACTTTTATGTTCACTTTAAGGACATAAAAAGTGTTAAACTCTGGGCCTCAGCAGACTTATAGCCTTTGAGAGACCTTTGGGCTTTTAGATTTTACGCTTTTATTAGAATATTTCTGCCTGATGAAGTGCTTTCAGGTAGATCAACAGAGCAATGTGATTGAATATTATTCAACCTTTCATAAACCAATTGTCTTAAACCATAATTGCAGGAAATGCTCCCAAAAGTTTCCAAGTGCAGCCTTTTCAAAAGCCAAATTCTAAAGTGAAATTGATGACATCTTACAAACACTTGCTCAAAGGTTCCTTTTGCAGTAAAATACAACATTGAAAAAATGTTAGGAGCCAAATTGCCAACATCATTCACCAAAGTCAACTATTTCAGAAGCTCCCTCCATAGAGGCCTACAGACCTGTATCAAGTCATTTTCCACTTGTAATTTGGGGATATTGAGGGGCCTGGAAGACCTAGCTCTTTTTCCTTAAGGTGCTGCTGACAAGTAATGCAATTAAATTAAGCTTCAAGTCATAGGAGGGTGCCTCTAAGTGCCTGTACAGTTAAATGCCACCGGATTTCAAATGAAAATGATGTGAATTAATTTCCTGGGAAGAACAAAAAGAAAAGGAAAGTCAAGAAGAAACACAGCTTCTGGTAACATAATACGTAGATTAATGGCACCCACTGATTGACTGAAGTGTCAAAAAACACATCTTTCAGATATAAATGAAGCTACTGAAAGAGTTTGGGGTTTTGCTCACTCTCTTTTATTCAAACGAAATATTAACTAATAAAGTCAAGGTAAAATTAGTTTTTCTTAGTATCTTTAACTTCTTCTCTACCTCAGAAGCTACCCTTTTAGACAAGAAAGTCTAGTGAAAGAGGGTAAGATTCATTCAAAGGCATCTTATTATACCAGAAATAAAATTAAAATACCTTGTATTGACTTATAAAATCCTCTTTTACCTGGCTTCAAATTCTCAACTTCTTTTAGACTTTCAACCTTTTTTTTTTTTTTGAGACAGAGTCTTGCTCTGTCGCCCAGGCTGGAGTGCAGTGGCGCAATCTCGGCTCACTGCAACCTCTGCCTCTTGGGTTCAAGCAATTCTCCTGCTTTCACTCCAGTTCAGATCCTGAGCACTCCTGCCTCAGCCTCCCAAGTAGCTAGGATTACAGGTGCGTGCCACCATGTCCAGCTAATTTTTTGTATTTTTAGTAGAGACAGGGTTTCACCGTGTTTAGCCAGGATGGTCTCAATCTCTTGACCTCGTGATCTACCCTCCTTGGCCTCCCAAAGTGCTGGGATTACAGGCATCAACCTTATCCCACATTTCCTGCCCTAGCACTAGCCTCTCCAGGCATATGGGCATTCTTTTAGTGCTCGAATAGGGCCTTGGCCCTAGCTGTTTTCTCTGCCTAGAACATTCCCCTCTGCTCTTTGCAGGCACTGATCTTTTTGATCTTGTAAGAGAGGTCATCCCTCTCAAGCAACTCAATTGGCTACCCCATGTCTATTGCAACATTTTAATTTTCTGCAGAACCCTTATCTGATGTCTGTTTTTATGAATGGAGTTGTCTACCTCTGCTGAAATGTGTTGTCCATGAGAGTACAGACCTTACTTTCCTGTTCATGGCATATACTCCACTCATAGAATGGTACCAAGCACAAAGCAAGTGCAGGATTCAAATTTTTGAATGAATAGCTAAGATGGTAAAAGTTAGATCTGGAAATCAACTGCATAATATTGATAAGAAGTCGAGGTAGAGATTTGAGAAGGCAACAAGCTGTTTCTGTAGCAAATATTCTCAGGTCACCCCTAAGTAAGTCTTAACTGAATGATGACTATGTATCCAGTTGTATTTACATTTGTCAAATACAAAAAAAAAAAAAAGGAAGAATGTATGTTCTTAACTTCTAGCCATACATAGACAACATTGGATAAAAGCCTGGGCTCTTAAGCCCAACACCAGAAGTTTCAGTATTGGCTCCCTTATGTCTTAGCTGTGTGACTTTGGTAAGTTATTTAACCTCTCTAAGCCTCAAAGACCTCATCAATAACCGGTTACACCTGTTCTACAGAATTACAAAGATTAATATGAAGTAATGCAGAAGAATAGTTAGCACAGTTGCTGGCATCCAATAAGCACTCAATTATTAGTCATATTTGCTGTTATTAATAAATGTATGATACCAAGTTGTGCGTTACTATGGGTTCTGTCTTCTACATGTGGTTACTTGACCAACGAGGTTGTTTTTTGGCTCTCCCTTAATAATGTAGCAAATGTGACCAACGAAACAGAACTTCGGCCCATTCTCTTTGAGCAGCTCTTCCTTGGTGTCTCCACCTATGTCATTCAGCCAGACTGCCTGACTAGAGTTTAAAGTCACTTTCATCAACATAAATGTATAGCAACATTAATGTTAAAACTATTTTTTGGAAGTATATTAAGGAAAATGTCATTTTGTCCTTATCTTTCCTATAAAGATTTAGTTATTGTATCTTTAAAAAGGTTAGCCTTTTTCTCTTCCAAAGTGTCAAAAGAAATCTCAAAATATGGTGTGACCTTGAACTAATTGCTTTCCCTTTCCGTGTCTCAGTTTGTCTGTTTTAAATAAGTCTAATAATTCCTAACACAGCAGCTGCTCACTTCATGGTAGTGAGGTGAAAATTAGTTTCTCATGTTCAAAACCAGAGTCACCTTCAAAACTGTCCCCGATACACACCCACACATTCATTTATGTTCCAGGTTCTTTCATTCTCACATGGACAAAGTGTATGGCATGTGTCCCTTCCTTTACACTCTACCTGCTTTCACTCCAGTTCAGATCCTGACCACTCTTCCCATCATATGCTCCTGCCCCAATCCAACCCACCCATGGCTAATACACAGTCAAAAGCACCAGCTGTGATGCAAAGCAGCATGGTCCACTTATTGAGTGCTTACTCTGTGTCAGGCACTGTGCTCAGCACTTCATGTGCACTGTCATTTCACTGTAGCTCCAATGATTGCCACGCCCACGTTCAGAGACTCTCATTAGCTGCATGCCTATATCCCCATTCATTACCCTTTATAACATGGCCCTGAGCTTGTACTGCCATTCACTATTTAATGATCTTGGGTAAGATGTGCTATGTAATCTCAAAAGATCTCGATTACTCATCTATAAAATAAGTGAAAATAATAGTACAACCTCACAAGGTTATCTGGTTTTTTTTTTTTCTCTCTGTGGCACAATTGGTATTTCAAGTTAGATATCTATGTATCTATGTATCTATCTATCTAATATCTATCTATCTATATACAATTTTTTTTTGTTTTTGTTTTTTTGCTTGGGGAGGTGCCCTAGGTCCTGTAGGATGTTTAGCAGCATTCCTAGCTGGTACCCACTAGATGGCAGTAGCATCCTCTCTTCCCCACTCCACCTCCTCACCCCCCATTATGACAATCAAAATGTCTACAGACATGAATAATTCTCTCCTCCCCACCGCTCCACTGAAAACCACTAGGGTGTTGGGATGAGTAAATTAGATAGTTTTAAATACTGGACATAAACTGTCCCTTTCTTTCTTTCTTTGAATGATTGGGAGAAATTTGCATGTTCCCTATTCCCCAGCATAATCAATAGAATTGTGGCTCCCAAGATTAGTCCTGAATTGTCCTGCTCCCTTGCCTGTGTAGCTCTGTCTACTGCAACACTCTCCCACCCAGCTTCTGCCTTGCAAATGCCTATCCATCCTCTAAAATTCTTTTTCCTAGGGGAAGTTTCCCAATTCTTTCCAACTGCATGATATTTCTCCCTCTAAATACTTTCAAATGTCATTTTTGTTCAATCACGACCTTTGCCTTCTGCCATGTTGTATAGTTATGTATATAATTGTATCATCTCTCCTGTTGAAACTGAAAACTGCATGAGAATGAGATTCATTGTTTTGTGTCTTTTTAGCCACCAGATAAATGAGCACAGTTGCTGGCATATATTAGTTGCTCATTAAATGTTTGTTAAATTTTATTTAGGACACAAACGAAACAAATGACTTATTATAAAGAAATGACTAAAAATGTTAAAGTAAACTAAAAAAAAGTTAGAGAATACAAAATTAAACTTATCTCCAGATGCTTGTTGAAATAGTCATATAATTGAGCCAATAGAGGTTTATTGTTTAAATTATTCATGCAACTGCCTTAATTCTCTGTTTCTCTTTGCACATGTAGGAACAGCTGAGAAAGAATTATAGTTGTCATTTGAAAACTATTAAGTGATTTGCCTACTGATGGAATTTGTATTATTTCGCTAGAAACAGAATTTATCAAATAAAGGAGGTACAAGCAAATCTACATTATTGCTTTATTAATCAAAAAAGAGAGCCAAGGAGGCACTGCTAGTGTGGAGTGATGGCACTGATACTGAACCTTTTTTCCCCCCATCTCTTCCTGTGATTTCAGAAAACAATCACACTTTCTCCCCCACCACACATACAGTTGTTTGCTATGGCAGGTGCAATTCTCTTTTCCCAGAGAGTTTGAAATCTAGCCAAGCTTATGCATGGCCGCTGATGCAGTTGTGATAAAGTAGAAGAGAAACTGATCTTCAATTTGGGAAACATGGATTAAAGATCCAACATTAACACTTCATAGCATTGTAAATATGTTACATTGAATAATGCCTCCCCTCAACCTCCCCAAAATGTCCATATTTGAATCTCTGGAACCTGTGGCTATGTCTCATACATGGCAAAAGGGACCTTGCAGGTATGATTAAGTCACAAATTTTGAAATGGGAGATTATCCTGGATGACCTGGTGGGTCCAATGTAATTATAAGGGTCCTTATAAGAGAAAGGCAGGAGGTCAAATACCTTATACTGTCAGTTAACATAATTGCTGGGCAAGTGACTCAAGCCAACCACAAACTTTTTTTTTCCATGGACTATAAGAAGGGAGAAACCCTTGATCCACTGAGGTGGCCAAAATGAAGGAAGGTGAATCTGTAGTTTGGGAATTTCATTGCCACCACATACGAAAGCCAGCCCAAGAAAAATGTCAGCAGTGACGGAAGTAGAGCTATGAGATTAAGAGTGATAGATTCTATGTTTCAGCTTATTAGGTATTGAACATCTAGATCTAGTCATACTTGAAGCTACTCTGGTTACATGAGCCAATAAAACGGACATGCATATGAATCATCAGAATGGGCTGCACCATCCATATTTCTACCAACATTCTGTTCATGATCATATAGGTATTCTCAAAGAAGTATGGAACTTTCTTTACAGCTCACTTCCACTCCTTCTGAGCCCTCACCAGAGTCACCCTTAATGGTTTGTTCACACCAGTACAGGCTGTATTGTAGCATATTCACGGTTATGCAACCATCACCACAGTGTCATTTTAGAATATTTTATCATCTGAGAAAGAAACTTGGTACTATTAGCAGTCATTCTCAAGTCCTCACCCTGCCATCAGTAAACACTAATCTACTTTCTATTTCTATAGATTTGCTTATTGTATATTCAAATTGATATATATATCCATATCATATTCATATTCAATATTTCATATAAATGGAATCATACCATGTGTGGTCTTGTGTGTCTGGCTTCTCTCACTCAGCATAATCTTTTCAAGGTTCATCTATGCCATACCACATATCAGTATTTCATTCCATTTTATTGCCAAATAATATTGCATTATATGAGTAGACAATATTTTATTTCAGTTATTATTATTACAGGGTAGAATATTTTTGAGTGAACACGACAGAGAAGAAAGGAGCAGAAGTGTATTTTTTTTTTTTTTGAGACAGTATCTTGCTCTGTTGCTGGAGTGCAATTGCACAATCTCAGCTCACTGCAACCTCCACCTCTACGACTCAAGTGATTATCCCACCTCAACCTCCCAAGTAGCAGGGACTGAAGGTGTGCTTTACCACGCCCAGCTAATTTTTTGTATTTTTTGTAGAGACGGATTTTCACCATGTAGCCCAGGCTGGTCTCAAACTCCTGAGCTTAAGCGATCCACCTTCCTGGACCTCCCAAAATGCTGGGATGACAGGCAAGAGACACCATGCCCCACCAAAAGTATGATCTTAATGGCTGCTCAGGCCCCCAGAAGCAGGAAGAAGATATGTTTGACTAGAGAAAGGAAAGGATGGTTGAGGAGGGATGCTGAACATTCTGTGGAAGCATGCCAGAGGCCCATCTTCTTCCCTCCTGCTGGCCCTGCCTGGAGTCAGGGGAATAAAAGGTGACTGGCTCATCCTATATGGAGGCAACCTAATGTAGAAGAAAGTACTGCCTTCTTACTCACTAACTCGGTTAGCTTGGGAGAGTCATTTAAGTCCGTGAAGTATCAGTATCCTCCAATCATCCCCCCACTTCTCCACTTATTTCCCGCAGCCCTATTCTTACTTCATGAATAATCATGAAGATCATATTTTGAAGAGGGTAAAAGTATTTTATAAATTGGAACATATTTTCAAAAGTACAACCATGCTTCAATAGAACAGTGTGCTAGAGGCATTTTGAAATGCTTTCTTATGAAAGGAAAATGCTTTTGAGGTCCCTGAATTCCTTAGGAATTCATAGGTAAATAAGGAATGAATCAGAACCCCAAAGTAACTATTGTGGTTAGTTGAAAATGGGCCCTAACAGACTCTGATGCCCTTCCAGGTAGCAGTCTATCTTATTCATCATTGTACCACATTGCTTGCCACAATTTATAGGCTATAGTAACATCAATAAACCTATTTTATTGAAGGAAAAATCAGAACTCTCTATAATCGTGCATCAATCGGCACATGCATGATTTGTGTGCTGTATCCTCCAATCATCTTTATTAAAGTAACAAAAAGAAGCACTAGCTTAGCTTACATTTAATGAGCATGTACTATGTGGCAGATACTGTGCTACACTCTTATAAGCATTAACTCACAACAACCACCCCACCCCCTCCATAAAGAATTCAGGGGTGACAGAAGTAATATGTTTTTTAAGTTTAAAAGCTAATTTCAATGCTGACTGTATGCTGGTTTGATTTAAAGTCAAAGCCTTTAAAAGGACTTTGGTTTACTTTATTTATTAGAATTAAGCATAATAACTATATATTATCTCATTTCCAAAGACTGGGTCCTAAAGAAGAATCCAAAGAGTTTTGTTTTGTTTAGGGTCCATTTGAAAATATTTTGAAAACCATATGCATTAATTCGGGATGTGATACACTGTATGGCTCACCTGAGGTGGTTCTTAGTTCAAATTATAGTTTTTAAAGATACTGAGGATTCCTTAGATCCTTTGTGTCATTATCTCTGCCAAAACAGAAAATATCTCCATATTCTGTGCAACCATACTTTATCCTGTCATTTTTTTTCCAAAACTTTTCAAAACTCAACTCATCCATAAAATCTTCTGTGATCAAGGCGGAAGCCACCCAGACATTCTGTTAATATCCTCAGTGTGATTGATATTTCTCTCCTGCAGTATGGCAAGATAGCATATGCGTATATGGGCAAGCGTATCTATCTTTATGTTAATGTGCATCTGTTCCTCTTATCTCTACCATACTATTAAGATATTAAGCTCTCAGGGCCTGTCTTTGTTTCCCTTCACAGAAGACAGCATTTATCCTCCTGGGTAACCCTAGTGCCTAATTTTGTGGCATAATGTACATGTTCAGTAAACGTGTACTTAATGAGTGAGTGCTCAATGAGGACAATGACAACATTGAAAGAAAATCTCTTTCTGTACACAGAGAAAATAAGATCACATACAAATAGAAGTTCTAATAGTTTGCCTTCTTGGGCATTTTATTTTTAAGTATTCTCAGCTGAAATATGCTGTACAACAGCTGAGATTTAGCAGGTAATTTTTATTTCACCTCTGTTTTCCAAAAGGTTGCCACTTGCCAAATGCACCACACTTAAAATGTGCTTTTCTGACCGGGCACGGTGGCTCACACCTGTAATCCCAGTATTTTGGGAGGCCGAGATGGGCGATACACAAGGTCAAGAGATCGAGACCATCCTGGCCAACTTGGTGAAACCCTGTCTCTACTGAAAATACAAAAATTAGCTGGGTGTGGTAGCATGTGCCTGTAGTCCCAGCTACTTGGGAGGCTGAGGCAGGAGAATTGCTTGAACCTGGGTGGCGGAAGTTGCAGTGAGCCAAGATCGTGCCACTGCACTCCAGCCTGGAGACAGAGTGAGACTCTGTCTCAAAAAAAAAAAAAAAAAAAAAGTACTTTTCCCCTTTCATGTACATTACAGTGCTTTATGGTTTTGTATGTCTCAGCATCTTAAAGCTATGGATTTCACTTATGTCTTGTTATTTATCATAGATGTGGGTTAAGGCCAAAGAAGGGAACTCAAGATGAACTATGGAGTTCTAACTCACCAACTCCCTTCTGTTGATACATAAAAAAAAGTTTGAAAAATTTAACTTCTGAGTTGCGTGAAACTCTTGCTTGGTTATACTTTCTGTCAGTTTCTTTGAATTATTATTGTTACCTTAATCGATAACAGTAACCATAAATAAACAATAGAGCCACCAATGCTTGAGAAGATTTGAGTCATATTGCCTAGATTTTAATCCCATTTCTACCTTCTTTCCATTTGAATGATCTTGAACAAATAAGTTATTTTGCTTTTGTCTTCCTCCTTCTTTGAAGTAAAGGTGAAAACAGTGCTGTGAGATAATTCATGTAAAGGAGCTTAGTTCCAGCCATGTGCATGGGAATTTATTCACATCATTTATTATTACCTGCCATTATTTTTAGGATAGTGGTATTGATAAGTAGACTGGGTTAAGTAAACTCCTCCATGAATAGATGTCTTCAAGACCTTTTAAAAAAGGGATTCCCAACCCTTCATAGCACCAACCCAGTTTTACCCAAGAATGCTAAAAGAAAGGCAAATTCAAGGGAATCCAGAGCTATTGAGGGGTTCCTGTTTTAGTCTTATTTGCAAAAGGATTTTCCTTTACCTCTCAGATACTAACTACTCCATGAATACAGTATGGTCATGGTTCCAACAGTCTAGCAGAAGGACAGTGTCAACAATCTGGATGAAAATGTAGTCAGCTTAACCCGAAAGACATTTATTTGAGCATTTAATTGCTTTCAGAGATTGGACAGCAGTTACATGAAGGCTCAAGCTCTCCCAAGCAACATCTTGATACCTTCACTGACCAGGTGCCCTCTCTTTTGCACTTTACAGGCTTGCAGAATTGCTAAGTCCAACATTTTTGCCACTCATCCACTCCTTTCACTGAGACCCAAATGTCTATCACGCCAGAAGTGGTCTTAGCTTTACTTTACTGGTGAATGGCAAATATATTATTGCCTGTCCCTTTCACCATCCTCAAAGTCTCTTTTCAATCTCTACCTCTGGACATTACAACTCACATTCTTTTTGTTTTGTCCTATTTGTAATCGATCAAATAGATTTGTTTATGTTAGTTTTTACTCCTCGCCTCCTCCCAGGCCTTTCACCATGTTGCTGGCTGCTACAGCCCTTCAATTCTGTGACTTACCACAACAGGCAGGAGTTATTATCACTGTTATAGATTAAGGCAGAGGAGTCATGATAACATGAAAACATGACAAATTCACAGGGCCAGTGAACAGAATAGAGAACCCAGAAATTAATTCACATATCTATAGCCAACTGACTCTTGACAAAGGTGCCAATGTCATACATTGGAGGAAGGGCCATCTGTTCAATAAATGGTGCTAGGTAAACTGGATATCCACACGCAGAAGCATAAAACTAGAGTTTTAAATATACAAAAATCTACTCAAATGGATCAAAGTCCTAAATGTAAGACCCAAAACTATGAAACAATTAAAAGAAAACATGCTAGGAGGGGAAATTCTTTTTTTTTTTTTTTTTTTTTTTTTTGAGATGGAGTCTCGCTCTATCACCCAGACTGGAGTGTATTGGCGCAATCTCGGCTCACTGCAAGCTCCACCTTCCGGGTTCACGCCATTCTCTTGCCTCAGTCTCCCAAGTAGCTGGGACTACAGGCGCCCGCCATCATGCCTGGCTATTTTTTTTTATTTTTAATTTTTAGTAGAGACGAAGTTTCATCCTGGCTACAGGATGGTCTCGATCTCTTGACCTCGTGATCCGCCTGCCTCGGCCTCCCAAAGTGCTGGGATTACAGGCGTGAGCCGCCGCGCCCGGCCCGTGGGGAAATTCTTTAGCACATTGGTCTGGGAAAACATTTTATGAATAAGACCTCAACAGCATGGGCAACAAAAGCAAAAACAAATAAATGGGATCACATAAAACTAAAAGCTTTTGCACAGCCAAGGAAACAATGAACAGAATGAAAAGACAACCTACAGAATGGGAGAAATAAGTTGCAAACTATTTACCTGACAGAGGATTAATATTCAGAATATAAAAAGAGCTCAAACATCCTGACAGCAAAAAATAAAAAATAAATAAAAAACAGAAGACAAAAACAAAAACAAAGCAAACAATCTGATTTTTTAAAAAAATGGCTAAATGATCCGAATAGATATTTTTCAATAGAAGGCATACAAATGGCCAAAAATACATGAAAAAATGTTCATCCTCGCTAATCATCAGGGAAATGCCAATTAAAACCAAAGTGAGTTATCATCACCCCAGTTAGGATGGCTATTATCACAAAAGAAAAACAAAAAAACAAATGCTAGGGAGGCTCTAGAGAAAAGGGAACTCTTATACACTGTTGGAAACGTAAACAAGTACAACCACCATGAAGAAAAGTATGAACGTTCCTCAAAAATCTACAAATAGAACTGCCATGTGATCCAGCAATCACATTACTGGGCATTTATCCAAAGGAGAGGAAATCAGCATAAGGAAGAGACATCTACATTCCCTTGCTTATTGCAGTATTACTGGCAATAGCCAAGGTATGGATTCAACTCAGGTGTCCAAAAACAGATGAATGGATAATGAAAATATGGTATATATACTCAATAAAATACTATTCAACCATAAAAAAGAATAAAATTCTGTCATTTGCAGCATTATCAATGGAACTGGAGGACATTATGTTAAGTGAAATAAGCCAGGAATGGAAAGTTAAATACCACATGTTCTCACTCAAATGTAGAAGCTAAAAAAAAGTTGATCTCATAATAGTAAAAAGTAGAACAGAAGATAGTAGAGTCTGGGAAGTGTAGGGGAAAGGGAGATGGAGGGAGATTTGTTAAAGGATACAAAATTAAAGTTAGAAAGGAGGAATAATTTCTTGTGCTGTATATCACTATCGGACAACTGTAGTTAACAAAAATATACTATACAGTTTCATAGAGCTAAAAAGAGGATATTGAATGCTTCAACAAGAAGAAATAATAAAGGTTTGAGGTGATGAATATGCTAATCAATATATATTATCTGTATTGCAGTATCACTGTATACTCCCAAAATATGTACAATTATTATGTCAGTTAAACAAAATTGAAAAAATAAAATACTGCACAGACAGGAAAAAATGAAAAAATTAAAAAACCCAATATGGATTATAAAGGGATGGCGTGTGTGTGTGCATGTGTGTGTGTTTTAGAGGAGGAAGAAGTCATTTTTATCCTTTAAATAGCTTTTGCTTAGTTTGCAATTTATTTTATTCTCCTAGTTTATGTACCTACATGTCTATTTCTCATTTTAAAACAAGGAAATATTACCCTCATATAATACTATTATCTAGATATTTTTCTACACATATAAATGCCTAATATATGTAATATGTAAAATTATTAATGTCACATTTACATTTCTTATAATCAGAAATTTAAAATTAATATTATGAATATATTCCCATATCTATACATTCAGAGCAGCAGCATTGTGAAACACTGTATAGTGTTTCATTATATCAATAAACTATATAACACAGTCTATTTTTAGTTTTTTAAGTTGTTTCCAATATATTGCAACTGCTTACAATACTCTAATGATCATGCCTGTAGATATGTCTTCATTTGTCCACTGATTTATTTGCAATCTTAGAAAAGGAAGTGGCACATTTTAAAGACATTTGAATCACGTAACATATAGGTCTCTGACAGGGTTACACCAAATTATACTCTGAACAGCGGTTTATAAAAATGCTCCTTCTCTAAACTCTTAACACTACAGGATGTTTTAATTTGGTTTTAAATTTAAAGAGCAATGAGGAGGCATCCCATAGAGCTTACAATCTCCCTGAGTAGGGCTACATCAGATTTATGGTGTACAGATTTGTTAACCAGGACCGAATCATGGGAATGTGGGCATGTTTGTTCTATTAGCAAGATCTCTATGAATTAGATCTAATAACTATTTTAGCCACTACCAATATAGCCACATTTCAGAGAAAACCCAAACTGGAAAAAGTCTATGCATTTTTTAATCAAAAAAAATCCCACAGATGTGATAATAGCAAATATTCTTTCAGTTCTCTTTAGATTGGAGGCAATAATATTGTCTCACTTGAAATTATGTAACTCATTATAGACATTGGGGGAATCCAATTTATAGATATGTTTTCAGAAATAAGTAGAACTCTATTTGTTGCTAGATAAAAATGTCAATCATAAAGTAACAGCCACCACAACTTACTCATGTAGATGTCTAGTTTTTGTGAATGAATCAGAAACCTGACAAGGCTGTTTGGAACTTTACTTGTTCCAATCTGTTGCTTTGTCCAGTTAATCAGTTAATGACCTTTTGGAAGACAATAATTCTCAGTCCCTCTACTAGCAAAAAGAAGACAGAAGTAAACATCAGTAGGGATATGGCCAAATCCTATTAGTATAAATTCAGATAGGACAAAAAATCTGCATGACAATGCTTACAGGCAACAGAAAATGAAGAGTTATGATAGTTAATCAAATGAGTGGTTGTATTTTCTGATCTCTAGGCGTTTAATAAACTTTCACAAAGCGTTCTTGGAAAATTTCTCTGAATATCCAAACATTCTATAGAACTTGTTATGCATTTATTTATCATATGCGTGACTGTAAATATCATTAGAAGCTTCATAAATCTCAAGGTAAAATTAAACTTAGAATGCTTTCACTATGATGTGATTTGGTTAAGCTGTGATTTATGGGTGCCAGGAAACCAGATAGCCTTGAATTTCTGAGATAAACTCTTTAGGATAGACCCATTGGAGATCTATATAGGGTTCTCTTAAGTTACCAGGTTTTTTAAAAAAATTTAGTTCCCTAATATGCTAAAAAAGATGTTATAAAGGCTGTGGGAAATGGGAAAAAGGGAGAAAACTGGGATTTACTCATTCTAAATTAGATGAGCAAATGTATATTTTGGAAAATAATCTCATACATTTATAATCAATCTAACCATTTAATAGTTTATTCAACTAATGTTTACTAAAATTCAATGATGCAAACATCTTTTATTGAACTTAATCTGGGGAAATTCTGGGGTCTTCAGTAAAGGTCCTAAATTAGGGTATTTTGTTTTTTTTTTTAGGAGCAGGACATCCTACTGACTTAGGACTACTTTATTCCTTTTTAAATATTGTTTTGCAAAGTATTATTGGATTTGGCTCTTTCACAGCAGTCCTAGTCTTTCCATTTCCTGATTATTCCTCATTCTTGTTTCATCACAGTATTTTAATTTTCTAGGGTTAGGTGTCCCTTTGCATAATGGGTTATACTTTCCACAGGATCTAAGCACAACTTAGTATCCAGACTGAAATCTTAGCAGAAGGATGCTCTAGCTTGAAATTCTAGAGCTGACAATAAATTACATATCTGTCCTGTTCTTCACCAATTCATAATTTACTGACAATTGTAGCCATGCAGGCAAGTTTCTCAATGTATGCATTTGTGATCATATTTCCTGAAACCCATGCCCTTCTATGTGTTTCATCAAGATACTGAAACGTCTCTCTGCATGTCTCTTGGTCCATCCTACATGTTCCTTCCTGAGATCACCTTCTCAATTACTATATTAACTTTACTTCCTTCATGGTTTTATTAGTTCACATATGGTTTTTGCCACTCATTACCAAGTTACAACACTACGCTACTCTTTTTATTTAAAGGTAGGAAGCAGCTTATTTTAAATCTAAAGTATTCCCATTCCATTCTTAAGAGGAAAGATGAGAGAAACCAGGTTCCTCTTTTAGAGAGCAGAAGTCCATATTCTCTGCAGCAGCAGCAACCTGGTAGCAAGGAGTAGACTCTTCCTTTCAAAGTGAACACAGGCAGGATCAGAACCTTTATACATGTAACCATACATTTAAGCTTACATATTAGCTTCCAGAGGTATAAGTTTTTAGTGTCAAATTAAAAATATTGATCAGTCTAGTAGACCTTTGGTATTCTTGAAAGACATACCCGAGAACATTGATAATAATCAATTTCCAAACATCACTATACTCGTCTATGCCAAATAATATCAAATATAGATATCACCTCCCAGATAGTAAGCCTATTTTGTTTTCAGTGATTAATTATTCCTTGTAATATGTATTTACAGTGCTGTGGTCAATCCGAATGCTTGCTCTTTCTCTACAGAAGCCACAATGGTCTAATTTATTATTATTATTATTATTTTGCCTTTACTGCTCCAGTCTAGTCAAAAGGAAAAATCATCAAAATTTGACCAAGTAAAATGATCAAAATAAACCAAACATTTTTTGGAATGAAATGACCTTCAATCTTAGATGATGAAACACAAATATGAAAGGAGCAGGGTTCATTCATTACAGAGGCAGCATCTAATGGAGACTATTAAGTCAATCCTGCTACCTTCTACAGATACTTGGCTTGGTTCACAGTCTTGCACCAAGCCCATTATTTTACTTTCTTCAAGCTTATGATTCCTTTTTATATTTTCAATACATTATATTTCCTTGGTTTTGTTTTTACCAATAAATAAATCCATGTACACGGGTTGTTTATTAAATTAGAGTTTCAAATCCCCATTGAGACAAGTCCACTGAGGAGTTAGCTAAGCCCATTTACTACCTAAACTGTTCCCTCCACCTGCTCTTTACAGAATAACTTAACAGTATGCCTCAAAAATTGAAAACTACTATCTGCAATGGGTTTTTATTTTGTTTAAAAATAAGTAAAAACATAAATGGTAGTAGTCTACTATATAGTCATCTGCTCTGTGATAGCACACACAACATGTCTATTGTGATTCTGAAAATACCTGACTTCTAATAGGAAGGTGGAAAAAATTTTGCCTAGAATATTTCTTCTTAAAGCAGGGAAAATCTCATTCCTTTGACTGCCTCCATTACCCAGGAGAAATTATCTTCGTGTGCTGTTAGGTTAAGAAAATCCTGATGCAACCTCTAAAGAGCATTTTTCCTTTTTGGTAGGTCTCTCCGATCCTTCAGTGGTAACAGAAAAAAATACTCCTTCCCCATTTCTATTTTTCTTTCTTCCATATGAAGGAAACTCCATTATAGCAGCTCTTCTGTCCTCTATTTAACCCCTTTTCTCTTCCTTCTTCTTGGTCAGTAGAGTTGCTTATTTGATTTGTGAACTTCAAAGCAAGATTTCGTCAATCACAGTTTAACCCATTCTCTTCCCCTTCATCTTTACAGTGGGCTACTTGAAGGAAGATACACTCAGGTCTGCTACTCCACACTAGAAATTTCACAGGGCAGGCTGCCATGTTGGGAGAGCCTGCAGTTGCCACGCACTTCTTGGGCCTGGATGGGTAAATCTATTTAATGCTGTAGTTAAATATTATGAAGTTCGTTTTTGCCGCATGCACTGAAATGTTATCCCCAAATATTAACTGCATCATTAATAAAAGCAATGCCTGGTTTTCTATTTGTCTATTTTTTTTTGACTTAGTGAACCTCACTTTGTTCTGAACTAGAGCAGCTAGAATGGAAGCCCCTAAAGAATAGATTAGTGGTATTTGGAACTTACCTTAGTAAAATTTCTCCAACAGGTATTGATCTTCCTGAGAAAACTCAAAGAAGTTTAATAAGTGCTCTGGATTTCTGCAGATACTTCTTTATACCTGCAGGAAGATAACATAAATATCATATTTTAAAATCATGCTATACAAGTGAAAACAAATTTAGTGTTAGACATCCCTGCCTGTTCCATTCCCTCAATATAATTTAGTAATTTAAAATCACAGAATGTCTTTCATACATGTGTGTGTTACATAACTAACAAATCAAGACATGGGTAAACTATAGCAAATATGTATATGTATATATGTGTATGTATTATATATATACAACATATAAATATATACATATATCTATTTGATTTAGTTTACCAACTCTAGATTTATTAGTCTTTCATTTCTTTTTTAATGTCATTGCATTTTATTGAAATGTGTCATATGAATTTCACTGGAAAAGATTTTTATCTGTAAATAGCTTATTGTACATAAATTTAAAAGACTTCCTGCTCTTACTTCTTCCCTCTGGCCATGAGCTAAAAACAATACAGATAATTATCTGTTTATTTCAACTCTAATAGCTGAAACTGACATTAAAAAACTAGAAAATGGCCGGGCGCGGTGGCTCACGCCTGTAATCCCAGCACTTTGGGAGGCAGAGGTGGGTGGATCACGAAGTCAGGAGATCGAGACCATCCTGTCTAACACGGTGAAACCCCATTTCCACTAAAAATACAAAAAATTAGCCAGGTATGGTGGTGGGCGCCTGTAGTCCCAGCTGCTCGGGAGGCTGAGGCAGGAGAATGGTGTGAACCCTGGAGGCAGAGGCTTGCAGTGAGCTGAGATCGCGCCACTGCACTCCAGCCTGGGCGACAGAGTGAGACTCTGTCTCAAAAATAAATACATAAATAAATAAATAGAAAATATACACTGTAATTTACATATTCCTCAGTTTGATATAGCATCACAGAAAATAAGTAAATATAGACATTGGATTGAGAATTAGAACTGGATTCAATTCATAACCCTGTCATAATTAGCCAGACAATTTTGGGCAAGAATCCAAAACTTACTGAGTCTTAATTGCTCCACATATAAAACAAAAAGCTTCGTACAAAATTGCCACTAAGGACCCTTCCATCTTTCAAATTCTGTGATAATTTTCCTTCTGAGGGTATGTTTTGATATGGGTAGAATGATCAGGAAGATTTTGTGGAAGCAAAACTCCCATGCTTAAATAAAGCCTGAATTTTTATATACTTATATATGCCAATTGTTAGCTTCTCTCTCGAGCATGAGTTATTTGTAGGTAAGTTATACTAAGGTGGTTGTAATCAACGAATTTGAGATTCATGTATTACTTGAAAAAAAATTAATTATCTACCTGACGGAGTTTAGTACAATTTTATTTTTAACTCAAAAGATTAATAACTCTTTGGAGTCTAATGACCAGTAGGTCAGTTGTCCATCCTTCAGCTATCCTGATGTTAAAGAGAAGTTGAAATTCTGAAAGGACTGGGGAAACCACCAACAATATGTAAGATAGCTTACAGAATTTAGCATGATATGATGATTTTTTTCCCCTCACATATCTTCCAGAGGGAAAAAGGTATTTTTGGTTGAAATGTTCATATTTAATTTGTTGTTGTCTTGAAAAAACAATACATTTCCTAAAACTGAAGGGTTGAGTGATAGCTGGAATTACTACTTGCAAAGATAATTTTAAAACTGGCATATCAGATTTGTTTGCTACTATTATTAGAATAAAAGAAACTAATTTAAGCTTGCATTATACTTCTAATGCACTGGGCTAATCTCTCTACATTACTGTACAAATTAAGCTTCATAACTATGCTATAAAAATTTGGATTATAATTCTCCTTTTATAGATTAAGAAACAGAGGTAAGGATGTTTAAGTCAGTTAAACAACTTAGTTTAACCCAGAAAGAGATAAATGGCAGAATTAGCAAGTCTGTTTAATCCCCAAGCCTATACTTTTTCTTACTATGAACTGTGCTATGTATCCTGGCACTACAAAGCTTGATGGCTACTTCTGGGCCAGTACATATTCAATTGAAGTAGATTCTATCAGATCGATTGTATCTTAGCCTCTGAATGCATCAGTTGATATTGATCTTTTCATACCTGAATGCCTTGTCTAATTTCTCAGGAATCTAATTTTTGCATTCCATTTCAATTGTATGTTCAGGGGAACAAAATGATGTCTCCTCCTTCTTTCAATCTGAGTTTTCTACTTGGTATTTAATGAGTTTCAAATAAATTTGTTTATACCAGGATTCTTAGTACAGAGAACTGAGCTTGGTGGGGCTGCCTGAAGGGACATAGCATCAGATAAGAGAAGTACTATGACAGGTGGTTGTGAAGAGAACAAGGCAGGGGGTTTGTTGATTAGAACAAAGTGAATCATATTATGTAGATTCATTAAATGTGGGGCTGGAAGGGACTCACCAATCGATTCACTAAATGTTATACTGCACAGGTGAAGGGAATAAGATACAATATGTTCAGGAACCAGAAAGCAGGTTTTAGGATTTCATCCATCTACCCAGCTTCTCAATGGTAGCACTGAATCCTCAATTGTATGTTTATATTGCATGTTTTAAAAAAGAAATTCACTTTTTTTTTTCTGAGACAGAGTCTTACTCTGTCACTCAGGCTGGAGTGCAGTGGTGCGATCTCAGCTCACTGCAACCTCCGCCTCCTGGGTTCAAGGGATCCTCCTGCCTCAGCCTCCCAGGTAGCTGGGATTACACACATGTGCCACCATGCCTGGCTAATTTTTGTGTTTTTAGTAGAGATGGGGTGTTGCCATGTTGGCCAGGCTGGTCTCAAACTCCTGACCTCAGGTGATTCACCTGCCTCACCCTCCCAAACTGCAAGGATTACAGGTGTGAAACACTGCACCCGGCCAAGAAATTCACATCTCTAGGCTTCAATGTGTCAATCACACTGGGCAGTTTAAGACTCGGGGAGCATAGGTTGCAGAAGACCTTGGAGTCAGACAATCTAAGGTCAGCAGCATCACTTCCTGTTTGTAGATCTTTAGAAAAGTGGCTTCATCTTTCTATGGGTCACTATCCTAATTTGTGAAACAGGATAATGAGAGGTCCATCCCTTTTATGCTGCTTTGGGATTTAATGAGGAAATTTCTATAGGGTACTTTGCTCAGGGTCTGTCCCAGAGTAAGCATATACATAGATATCCAGGTATTGTCAGCATCCTCATCATCATAATTTATTTCATGTGGGACTAATAAAATGGAATATCTTCTGTAAATTACATTTTCCCTTGGAAATATAAATCTCAATAAAAAGAGATTATGACTGAAGTACTAACGAAAGAGACTAAAGTAACCAGCATTGTCATGGTAACTTTATTTGACTCACCAATGAAATGAGAAAGTCACAAATCTCTATACATATTTGAAATTAAATGTTCAATACCCTAAAATAATCAACTTGGAAATGGATCTTTTTGCTCAGAGCAGCCTAAAGCAATTGCACTCAAAGGCAGAAGTTCTCATAGCTTCTCATAGCTAAACGTTGTAACTAAAACAAATGATTTTACATGACAAAAAAGGTGAAAGTTCACTTGTTTTCTTAATTATAATAAGTTAATGTGAAGGAATGTCCATTTGGACTCTGCTGTTAGAAGCTCAGTTATGCAATATTCATATAAAAATAGTTCCAAATCAATACAACATGTTTTAAATTTACATTAACATTTAAATTAATGAGAAGCTCAATGTGAATTATGGCGCTTTGGATGTTTAGGACGATGTCTCTTCTTGCCAACTTGGAACAGAGTCTATTGACTCACCTTCATAGTTTCATAAACAGCTTCCAGACTTCATGTATTTTCATTGCCAGCCGATTTTCAGACTGATGAAGGGGCCATATTGACATCACCAGGGAATAATGTTGGCCCTATCCACTAAAGTTATAAAATGCAGCTAGCAAGTGAACATACCTCTGAAGGACAGTTTGCCACAGATTATTCTCATGTCTGGGGTTGCTTTAGGATTAGAGCTTATTCCTTTTTTCCTCTTATGGATTTTTTCATCAAATATTTCTAGAGCACCTATTCTGGACAGAACACTGTGCTAAAAGCAACACAGATCCTACCTCAAGGAACCCACCCTCTATTGAATGAGGTAGTAGCGTATACAAACAATTATAGAATAATATGACATAGTCTATGATAAAACAATTTATGAATTAGGTGGTATCAGAGGTAGCTAGATAAGACTGAGGAGAATCAAGGACAACTATCTGAAGAAATGAGGCTTCAAAACCAAGTAGGCATTAGTTAATTAAGCAAATATAGAAGATCTCACTAGTCGGCGGGAAGATCCTATAAAAGAGCCTGACACCTTCCCTTCAATGAACAAGAAATTCAGAATGATTAGTGTGAGAGGTGGCAAGTATGTGTGTGTGAGTTTATGTGTGTGTGTTTAGTGTGTAGGTACACATACTCACATAGAAGTGTGAATGTAACAAATTGACATCCATGATTAGGCACACAAATTAATGAGCTGTCTCATATGTCATGATAAGGAGTTTGGACATGATCCTTAAAATCATGCAGATGCAGAAGTTCTGATGGATTTTAAGCAAGCTTGATTCTAAAAGTATTGCTCTGGCAATAGTGCAGAGAATAGAAGAAAGGTGAGTGGTTTTTTCCATAAAGGTGAGCAGTTTTTTTTGTCAGATGTCAAAAGAGGCCTTAGTAAATCCATGCTTGAATTCATATGACATCAGATGCAAGACACAGGTAGCAGAGAATGTCATAGAAACTTAGCAATTCCAAATCTCATGGCGTTCCTTTTGACGGTGAAATGAAATGGGCAATGAAAGATTGGAATTAGCAGTGCTGTATCTGAGTTCTACCACCCTCACTCATTTGCGAAAAACAATAAATTGAGCACTAACTATGCACCAGGGATAGTATTAGATCCTGTGACAGAGTAATGAACAGGCTAGGCAAGGTCCTGGCTCTCAAGATATCTATATTTTCTTGAAAGCATGAGAAAGAACAATTCTTGAGAAACATTTATTGATAAATGAGACAGAACAATTAAGTAAATACAAATATTTACAGATTAGGGTAAAAATTATGGAGAAATAAACAGGGTGATGTGATAAGGACAAGGTTGGGGTCAGACAGGGTTTCTTAACTGAAGAGCGTAAGCTTTGGATTGGGGATTCAAATCCCAGCTCTGCCATTTCTCTATTATGTTGTGTTGGCAAGATATTGTGCCTCAGGTTTGTCTTCTGTAAATTGAAGCTGAATATTCCACTTCATAGGCTTATTTTGAGGACTAAATGAATTAATAAATACACAAAGATTAACCCAGTGCTTAGCAAATAGAAATGCTCAAAATTACTATTAGTATAGTTGTAGTTACCATTATTACTTTATTATTATTATTAGTCTTCTATGAACAGATTGGCAATGGAACGACTAGTTGAAAGGTGAAATTTGGGCTTAAACCTGAAGAATGAGAAAGAGCCAGACATGTGAAAAGCCTTAGGAAACATATTCACGCCATTTCCTAACAAAGCCAACAACAGTGCAAAATTTCTGAAGTGATCTTAATGTTAAAATGTGTTCAACTTATTAGAAACTACTTCAGTATTATTATATAAGTTTCAGCTACTTTTGCTTTGACTCACTCCAGGAAAGGAAGGGTCACTTATCTAAATTAAGAATCCGGGCCAGTCATGATAGCTCATGCTTGTAACCTCAGCACTTTGGTAGGCCAAAGCAGGAGGTTAGCTTGAGCCAGGAGTTCAAGATCAGCCTCGGCAATATAGCGAGGCCCCATCTCTAAAAAAAGGAAAATAGCCAAGTTTGGTGGCACATGCCTATAGTCCAAGTTATTTGGGAGGCTGAGCAGTGAGGGTCATTAGAGCCCAGAAGATAGAGGCTGCAGTAAGCTTTGATGATGCCACTGTTCTGCACCCTGGGCAACAGAGCAAGGCCCTGTATCAAAAGAAAAAAAAAAAAGAAACCATATTTGCTAGGATTATATTAAAAAGTCATGTTCGAAAGATAGCTACTAACACTTATTTTTTTCATTTTTCATCAACACCAGGCAGCTAATGATCATAGCAAATATCAGAAACTGTCATTTTCCAGCAAATAAATGTGTCAATGATTGGGGTGATAAAATAAATAGCCTTTATTGGTGAAATTAATGGTGTTCAACATATATGGATTGACAAAGATATATTTGAGATACTACTCACAATTAGATTAAGACCATTTAAGAATCTAGTGAGGCCAGAGGCATGTATCTTTAAGTTAGGGATGATACTCAAAGCTTGATCTGTAACTGGTTCTCTGTCTAGCCATGGGTGAGAAGAACATTGATCCAACCATGAGGTTGGAATGCTGTCTGCTGAAAGGTGGCATTTGGAAAACCTAAAAAAAAAAAAAAAAGGTGGAATTTTGTTGCACTTAGGTTATAAAAACTGTTGCTTGCTTGCTCACTATTGAAAGCATATTTGTCTAATAAGTCTTTGTATTTACCAAAATTAAGTCAGTGACTTACTTCAGTATAACCTAGTACTGAGGGCATAGCTAACCCTCACCCAGAGGGCTCAGGCTTCTTTGGCAATTATTATTTACCAAAATTAAGTCTGGCCAGGCGCAGTGGCTCATGCCTGTAATCCCAGCACTTTGGGAGGCTGAGGTGGGTGGATCACGAGGTCAGAAGTTCAAGACCAGCCTGGACATGATGGTGAAACCCAGTCTCTACTAAAAATACAAAAATTAGCTGGGCATGGTGGCAGGTGCCTGTAATCCCAGCTACTCAGGAGGCTGAGGCAGAGAATTGCTTGAACCCGGGAGGCAGAAGTTGTAGTGAGCCAAGATCATGCCACTGCACTCCAGGCAAGACTCCTTCTCAAAAGAAAAAAAAAAAAAAAAGAAGAAGTCTACATGCCTGTGTGTTGTGCAGGGCCAAAGAAGCTTAGATCAGCTTGCAATACTTAACCTGTCCAAGGACGAACAAAAAAACATTGCTTCTGGAGTATTATAAAGACATTGCTAGAAATTGAAATCAGAGAGCTAGACAGAAATCAAACAATGCAGGAACTTGCAGCTCCTGTCAGTATTGTTGGATTTCATTCTCATTGCAATGGAATCTTCTAAGATATAAGTGGAGAGAGCAATTGATCTGAGTTTTTTAAAGATGATAATAACCAGTGTGTAGAAAATGGATTGTAAAGGTAAGATTGAGTGCAGAGAGGAAAGTTCAGTAGTATTTCAGAAGTCTAGGAAAGAGTGATAAAGGTTTCAAACACAGCTGTAGAAATGGACACAGAAATGTAGACTGGTTTTGAAATATACTTTGGAAGAAATCTTAATAGGATTTGCTTGTGGATTAGAAGTGAAAAATACCACAAGAAAAGATTCAAGGTTAGGACTGCTGTTAGGAAATCTTAATGCTGAATGTGGTTAGTTGAGGTGGTCTACGTTTGAGAGTTGAGGTGCATTCTTATCGCTAACTGGAGCCTCTCTCAATGGCAGAGAAAGAAATGTAAGCCTCCTGTTGACTTCTCTGAGGAGCCATGCAGAAATCTGCCATTTCCCATGACAGGGCTTTCAACAGAGGCTGCTTCTGGAGAATGAATGCCCTTTGGAGTCATGTGAGATGCCTTGCTTACATAGAGAGGCCATTTTTTTCATAAATAAATAAGAAGATCTAAATGGGAAATCTCAGTGTTTCATATTTATTTCGAATTCATTGAGCCTTACTGTTCCCTTGCAGAAAATGAATGACCAAGAAAAGGGCCTCTATTATTATCTGCTATCAGAAAGAAGTTGCTGTTAATTACACTTGATCTTAGCCAAAAGGCTGAGAAGCGATATTCATCAAAAGCTATGGAGCTTCAAAATAATCTTGGATTTGAGTTCAGTGTATGAATATGTTTTCATAGTCACTGATTTAGTCAGTTAGTCAGTCCATCTGTCAGTCTATCAGTCAGCCATTCCCTTAATAAACATTTACTGTGAATTAGCTATGCACTGGGCCAGGTGTTGGTGATGAGTCTTTTATAACTTCTCTTCTGCTTGAACATTTTCAAAATTTTTAGTCTATTAAACTCCAACAAAAATATCTCAAGCGGAATTCATAAAACTGGTTTCACTACACTCTACATTGACTCTAGAACTATTGCAAAAATTAATAACAAAAACAATAAAGTTGATTACTTTTATGTTGACCTATAAAAACTTTACATCACTTAGAAAATCAAGAAAAAAATTTCATTTATGCTTCCAAATTCTAATTGTGAATTTGCTTGAGATTTTTTTAAAGAAAGGAATTAATCATTATGTAAAAATAATATCGTGATCTTTATACATGTTAACAAATATGTACCACAGACAGTGAGAGAGTTTGTAGACAGACATTACTAAAAGTGAAATATTTTTATATATATTTTAAAAGAATTTGGTTTGCATAGTAAGAACTAAAATGAGAACATTTATACCCAAACTTGATATTCTACTCTTCCATGGCCTGTGAAGGGTTGGAAAGATAGTTCAATATTCTATGCCACAGTATTTTTATCTAAAGTGGAGTTAAATCTATGTAGCCACTTTATCCTTATTTATTTTAACATGAGAATTAGAAGTCTGGTGTCTAGGAAGCCTGCTAGGCTCTCCGTTTTTTATTTCAAAATAAAGAGACCACATCATTACTATCACCTGAAGTAAAAAGAAATCAAGAGATGAATTGCCTAAAAGAACATATTCACATCATTATCAGTTCAATGGTACAGTATAATACTTCCACACATTGTGTGTTTTTTTTCATATTTGCCTTTAGCTGTTGGAGACAACTAAAGTTGTTGACAAGTTGCATGTATATTTTAATCCACGTCATCATACTCTTTCTGGGACTTCTCTAAGGCAGACAAGAATAGTCAACCATTGGAATAAGTCTTACTGGATTAATATTTAATAATTGAGGTATTGTACATTTCCTGAGGATTTATGAGCAGGTTTAAAAATTAGTAATCTCACAAGTACTTGAGTGGTATCACTTTGTAATTTTCCCCCAGAGAATAACTTTGATAATCATTTCTGTCATAATTTAAAAATGAAAGAGAAGTGATTATCAGTTTAAATACAGAATATTTTATGGGTTACTTGCATTTGGAGTGCTCAGAGACTAGTGGTTTCCATTTAGACAATTCATAAATGTGAAAAAGGTAACTGGATAATAGCAGCATGAGTGGGGTAATCCCCAAAACTTTCTGCACTAAATATATTAAATAGCTTCTTTTCAAAGACATATTAATATATTTTAATGATTTTATGATGCCACCTGAGTAACTCAAAAAGAACAAACACTACCACAAATAAAAGTTTATCTGTCTGTGGGGGAAAACTGAGACCTCTGTGGTGAGCCAAAAAGTAGGCTTAGTGCAAATAGACCGTGAGTGAGTGACAAAATGCTACTCTTTATAAGTGGGGCTGATTCTGTGCTCCATACACTCTCATTATGTATTCTGCTAATAGCACAAGGATGTGAAAATAACAGTTAGTTCTGTAAAGAGCTGGGTGCAACATTAAGATTTAATTAAACCTTGTTTTACTTGGGCAAGCTAGTCATGCAGTGATGTCACAGGAGAACAGAACCCAACAGTCTGATGACTAGCAGCAAAAAGACATGTAGCTGAAATGCCAGTGCACATAGCTAATGTAAACAAGTTGAGGGGAGCAACGGAAACAGTGCTGTAAACTGGAAACATGCCACGTGAGTCATGCTGGAAGGATGTGAGGGTGTTGAGTCTGTAGAAAGCAAACAGACTTTGAGACGACTGGGCAGGAATCAGGGTTTCTGGGTTATTCTGGAAAAGTGTGATTCAAACTCCTTTGTGTACCTCGTGGTATAGAACAGGAACCAAAGGTAGGGTTGACAGGAAACAGGAAATGTAATTTCAGCTCAACATAAAAAAATTCTACCTGTCAAAACTATCCAAGAGTAGAATAGACTGTCGTTGAAGGTAATCAGTTTATAATTATTTGAGGTATTCAAGTATTGATTGCATAACCACTTGGTAGTTACTTTCTTACTTTCTTTTTCTTTTTTTTTTTTTTTTTTTTTTGAGATGGAGTCTCAATCTGTCGCCCAGGCTGGAGTGCAGTGGTGCAGTCTTGGCTCGCTGCAACATCTGCCTCCTGGGTTCAAGCGATTCTCCTGCCTCAGCCTCTCGAGTAGCTGCGACTACAGGCATTTGCCAACACACCCGGCTAATTTTTTGTATTTTTGGTAGAGATGGGGTTTCACTGTGTTAGCCAGGATGGTCTCTATCTCCTGACCTCGTGATCCACCCACTTCGGCCTCCCAAAGTGCTGGGATTACAGGCGTGAGCCACCATGCCTGGCTGGTAGTTACTTTCTAACTAGGTACAGTGTCATTCTCAGAATCCAATGAGTCATACCAGTCGGGTGTTAAATTAATGACGAAGAGGTAGTCAAATTATGAATCTATAAAAATTACAATTACTTACGTAGTAGAATTTGAGGTGGTGTGATGCTCATTTTATCTGTCAACTTGACTGGGTTAAATGATACCCAGATAGCTGGTAAAACATTATTTCTGGGTGTGTCTGTGAGGATGTTTCTGGGGAAAGTTAGCATTAAAAATGTAGCTATCTCACTTATAAAAATATTATTTTTAATTAACATATAATAATTGTACATATTTATGGGGTACAGGGTGATATTTTGATGCATGTATACAATGTGTAATGATCAAGTAAGGGTAATTAGCATATCTACAACCTTGAACACTGATTATTTCTTTATGTTGGGAACATTCAAAATCTTCTTGTATTAGCCTGGTCTCACGATGCTATGAAGAAATACCCAAGACTGGGTAATTTATAAAGGAAAGAGGTTTCATTGACTCACTGTTCTGCATGGCTGGGGAGGACTCAGGAAACTTACTATCATGGCGGAAGGCACCTCTTCACAGGGTGGCAGGAGACAGAATGAGCTGAGCAAAGGGGGAAAAGCCCCTTATAAAACCATCAGATCTCGTGAGAACTTACTCACTATCATGAGAACAACATGGAAATAACCAACCCCATGATTCAGTTACCTCCCACTGGGTCCCTCCCATGACATGTGGGGATTATGGGAACTACAACCCAAGATAAGATTTGGGTTAGGACACAGCCAAACCATATCACCTCTCTTCTAGTTATTTGAAAATACAAGATAAATTACTGTTAACTATAGTGTTATAGAGCACTAGAACTTATTCCTCCTATCTTGTAATTTTGTATCCATTAACCAATTTCTGACTATTCTTCCCTTCCCCATACCCTACCCAGACTCTAGGAACCACTCATCTACTCTCTACTGCTACAGGGTCAAATTTTTAAGCTTTCATATATGAGTGAGAACATGTGATACTTACTGTGTCTCACCCCAGTTAGAGTGACTATTATCAAAAAGACAAAAACATAACAAATGCTGGTGAGAACAGGGAGAAAAGGGAACTTTTATACACTGTTGGTGGGAATGTTAATTAGTACAGCCATTATGGAAAACAGTATGGAGGTTTCTCCAAAAGCTAAAAATAGAACTCCCATATGGTCTAGCAATCCCACTACTTGGTATACATCCAAAGCTAATCAAATATAATCAAAGCTAAAGGAAAGAAAATCAGTATGTCAAAGTCGTATCTGCATTCCCTTGTTTCTTGCAACACTATTTACAATAGCCAAGATATAAAATCAACCAACATGTCCATCAGCAGATGAATGAATGAAGAAAATGTGGCATATATACACAATGAAATACTATTTATCTATAAAAAAGAATGAAATACTGTCATTGACTGAAACATGGATGGGCTTGGAGGATATTACAGTAGGTAAAATAAGCAAGGCACAGAAAGTGATTAACATTTGAATTAGTAGACTGAGCAAAGAAATCTCCCCTCACCAGTGTGGGCAGGCATCATTCAACTGGTTGAGTGCCCTAATATAACCACAAGGTGGAGGAAGTTTGAATTCTCTCTCTCTTCTTGAGCTGGGACATGCATCTTCTCCTGCCGTCAGATATCAGAACTTCTGGTTCATGGACCTTCAAACACTGGGACTTAACACCAGTTGCCCCAAACCCTGCCATTCTTCAGACTGGGACTGAGTTATGCCACCCGCTTTCCAGGTTATCCAGCTTGCAGGCAGCATATTGTGGTACTTCATAGTTTCCATAATTACATAAGCCAATTCTCATAATATTAATAAATCCTGCGTACATGTTCATTTATATATATTCTATTGGTTCAGCTTCTCTAGAGAACCCTAGTGAATACAGGTAAGATTAGCAGCATTGACCCAAGTGCCATAACATGTAAATTAACACTTGAGAAGCAATTTCTGTGATGAAGCTTTTTCTATATTTTGTGACCTTTAAAAACTGAATGCACTTTAGCAGTATATTAGTTTCCTAGGGCGGCCATAACAAAGTGTCACAAATGAGGTGGCTTAAAACAGCAGCAATTTATTCTCTTACACTTCCTGGAAGTCAGAAGCCCAAAACTAAAATATGGCCAGGCCACAGTCTCTCTGAAGGCTCTATGGCTGAATCTTTCCTTGTCTCTTCTTGCTTTTAGTAACTCCACGCATCCCTTGGTTTGTGGCACCTTAACTTCAATTTCTGTCTCCATCTTCATATGGCCTTCCTCCCACTATGTGTGTCTTCCTGTAAGTCTAATTTATTTTTATTTTTAAGACACCAGTCATTGGAGTTAGGGCCCACCTAAATCCTGATCTCATTTTAACCTGATTATATCAGCAAAGACTCTGTTTTCAAATAAGGTAACATAACTACCAGGGCTTAGGACTTTAACATACATTTTTTGAAAACACAATTCAACTCACAACAAGCAACGTTACATCTTTTTATCATCAACACTTGTGTAAATTAAGGTATCTAATTTTAATTTAAAAAATATTCTTCCTTTCCTGGACTTTCATTCCCTGTGTCTTATTCTTTCCACTTTCCCACCTAATAAAGCTAAAGCACATTTAACTCTCTGAACACATCATCTTCTTTTACATAATTGTTCATGGATTGGAGGATTCTGCCTTATCCATGTCAATACTTTCTAGTTGTTCTGCAACTTTTAGCTACCTTATCTATTTCTTACATCTGTTAGGCCAAATAGAGTTTCCTTCATCTTCTGTTCCCATTATAGCATCTGCATATATCTTCACTAAGCCAATTGTCAAGCCATATCATTAACATTTGTTTGTTTCTCTCTGTCTCTGAAATGGTAAGTTATTTAAACGCAGGGACCATGTTTATCACACATAAATATTTATTGAATAAATTAATGAATTAATGGATGACTGAGCAAATAGGTGCACTTATGACCCATGCATGTGTCTGAAAGAATCTGTATATGTGAGGTGTTGTGGATATTAAAACAAAAATAGCATAGAGAGTGAAGGCCACCAAAAATATCTCACTTTCAATTTTTTTTTGAACTCCTCCTCTTGCTATAATCAAACAATATGTAAGGGAATCCTTACTCCTTAAGCTCAGTTTTATTAGTGGGTATGTGGAATTATTCTGATTAATCATCTTTATATATTCATTCATATTATTTAATTATACATACACATATTTGTGAGATGCTACAACATATAAAAGTTTTTAATGTAGAAAAGCCTTGGATTTTTTGTTTGTACATTTTAAAGGAATATCAAGCATACTATTTACGAGTGAAAAATTGTAGTTGTCATTTTTAAAATTGTAAATATGGCCTGGCGTGGTGGCTCACACCTGTAATCCTAGCACTTTGGGAGGCTGAAGTGGGAGGATCACCTAAGGTCAGGAGTTCGAGACCAGCATGGCCAACATGGTGAAATCCCGTCTCTACTAAAAATACCAAAACTAGCAGGGGGTGGTGGCAAGTGCCTGTAATCCCAGCTACTCAGGGGGCTGAGGCAGAAGAATCGCTTGAACCCGGGAGGCGGAGGTTGCAGTGAGCTGACATGGCGCCATTGCACTCCAGCCAGTGGGACAAGAGTGAGACTTTGTCTCAAAAAAAAAAAAAAAAAAAAAAAAGAATTCATAAATACATGGGATTTTGTTACTCTTAACTGAGGAACAGTTTCCAATGAGTATGATAATGATCAGATGAGTGACTTCAATTGATTTCCAGTGGTCAGATCACCGCTAAGCGATATGTTTTTTGTTGCTGGTATTGTTGTGTGGAAGAGAGAGAGTGATAGGGAGGAAGGAAAAAAGGAGGAAAGGAAGAGAAGAAATAAAGTCAAAATCTTAGTTAGATAACCCCAATTATCTTAGTGCTTTATCATACATCACTGTCTGCTGACTGGCTGGATGGCTTACATAAACAACAACAACAAAAACTTCCTTAGTGGATACAATTCTGGAGTCCTTGGTGCTCAAGATGGGAAAACCTAACCTGGTGTTTTTCCTTGCTGTGTTTTAGTATGTATACAGAGGATGCCACTGGGGATCCTCTTACATTTTATATTTAAGGGCACCTATAATGTTTTCAAAGGTCTTAAGACTGTTACATGATTTCTAAATATTAAGTTTGTGGTTACTGGGAACATTTGCTTAGCAAGGACACAGTTGAAACATTTTAATAAAGCTTTTAATAATGGTTTCAGAAGATACCCACAAAAAAAAAAAAGTAAGCCAATGGGTACTATTATCCATGAGGCCAGTAGGCTAGAGTTTGAGAAGGTTGAGAAGATAACTTTTGAGGACATAATAAAAGATTTTAAGAGCAGTCTACTTCACTATTGCACAGCAGTACACCACCAAATGTGAGTAGGGGAAGAAGGTAATTACATTTTATTTTGCTGTCTACCTTCTATCTCATTAGGTGTGTGTACTCATAATTGTTTTGTGGTTACTTGCAATAATCAAATAATTCTAAGCACATTAATGAACAAAGAATACTTCTGTAGAGTACTGAAGTCACCAGATAAATCTATAATACATAAATATATACATACATATGCATATGCATACATAAATATGCAAGCCATCCAGCCAGTCATCTGAGCGAGGTATGAAAAAAAGCATTAACACAATTCAGAGTACCTATCTCAAATTTTTACTTTATTTCTTTTTTCTCTCCCTTTTATCTTTCCTTCTTCCCTCACTCCTGCGCTACCTAAAAACTGTAGCAGCAACAAAAGCAGGAACAAAACCATATAGGATAACAGCGATCTGGCCACTGAAAATGGATTGAAATCACTAAACTCATTCGTCTGATCATTATCAATACTCATTGGAAACTTTTGTTCAGTTAATTAATCAATATCTGATTGTCACAAAATCCCATGTATTTATAACTTTTAAAATAACTAAGCAACAATAGATTTTTCTCATAAATAATATGCTTGATATTATTTTTTAAATGTACAAACAAAAATCTAAGGCTTTTATAAATTAAAACATTTATACATTGTAGTATCTCATAATTGCTCTTATTTCCTGTGTTACATTTTTTTAGGTGCAGAAACCATGACCCTGTACACAAAAGTCAGAATGCAACCTGTGTCTGTTCTAGATTGTTTAATTTATACATATTTTTATTATATCAAGGAAGTAGGTTTTATAGATGATATTTAAAGACATATCAAAAAATATATTTCTGAATTAGAATTTAGGCTTAACATTTCTTCTTCAGTCTATAAATCCTACACCTAAGTCCTCTCTTATTGAGATGTAAGACAGAAGGTGAACTTTCTTATCAAAGGGCTTTTCTAACACCCTTCCAAATGAAATAGCCAAAACAATAGAAAATAAAGAATTAAGACATTTAATAAAACTGGAATGGATTCTAATTGTATTTACTTCGCTAGAGCATGAAAAATGTATTATGTGATTAGGATGGAGAAGCAGAAAATCTTAGAAATTTAGTTATGACAATTGTTAGATGTGCCAAATTCAAATGTTCACCCAGGTGAATTTCTTTTTCACCGTCATTGTATGACACTCTTCTGCTTCTGATTATACCTACATCATGGAAGACTTCACTTTTTATAAGGGTGCCTATCTCGAAGAGAATGGATTCGTCTAACTTTTTGAAATTTCCTATTTATGTAATTACTCATTCAACCCATGTCTAGAGTACACTGTGTAACGCAGGTAAGTAAGTAACGCAGCCAAGTGAGTTCTGGACCCAGATAAACTGGATTCGAGTCTCTACTCCAACTTTTACTAGCTCTATGACTTCAGGAATGTTTCTCATCTCTTTGCCCCATGAACTTCATCTGTAAAATGTAGACACTAATAGCCCGTACCACATAGGGTCATTTTGAAGAGTGCTCCATGTTAAGCACACAGACCAGTGCCTGACACATACTAAGCATTGTATGAGTATGAGGTCTTTATATTTATTTTTTAAGTTCAATATAGAGTTTTTAGTAGAGTACTATTTGCCAGACACTGTCCTAGATGATGGCGATATAATAGCAGTCAAAACAAAATCCCTGCCTGCATGAAATTTACCTTCTAACGTAACTGTGACAGAACACAGGCAGCTATTCGCTGAACCTCTCTCCTCTTTTTTTCTTGACAGACCGCGGAACTGCATATCCCAGTTTTTTCTATGGTGATGTTTGTCCATAGAACTGAGTTGCGGCCGAAAGAGTGTGAAAGAAAGTGATGTGCACTATTTTGGGCCTGGCTAATACGTATTTCCCACATGCCATTGATTCTCCTCTCTTCCCTTGCCTGCTTGCTATATGAAGACGCCTGGACAAACTTGAATGCCGCAGGCTACAGAAGTCAGTCTTTATTCCTGAATGACTGTATGGAGCAGATCCCCAGCCTCATCTCACTGCTGCCACCAAGGTTCAGATTCATACAACTGGGAAAACTATCCTCTACTGTATTACGCTGTTAAAATTTCAAGGCTTATCTCTCACAGCATTTAGCATCACTTCAGTTAATGTAGAGAGAGTCAGCAGACAAATAAATCTGAAGTATAATATCAGCTAGTGCTAAGTGCAATGCAGAAGAGCGAATCAGGGGCTGGGCACGGTGGCTCACGCCTGTAATCCCAGCACTTTGGGAGGCCAAGATGGGCAGATAGCGAGGTCAGGAGATCGAGACCATCCTGGCTAACACGGTGAAACCCCATCTCTACTGAAAATACAAAAAAATTAGTCGGGAGTGGCGGGGGGCGCCTGTAGTCCCAGCTACTCGGGAGGCTGAGGCAGGAGAATGGCGTGAACCCGGAAGGCGGAGCTTGCAGTGAGCCGAGATTGCACCACTGCACTCCAGCCTGGGGGACAGAGCGAGACTTCGTCTCAAAAAAAAAAAAAAAAAAAAAAAAAAAAAAGAGCGAATCAGGGAAAGGGAGTGGAGGAGAGTGGTCAGGGACGTCCTCACCAAGAAGCGCACATCCGAAGCGAGACTTGTAAAATGAGCTGAAGAAACTCATGTACAGCTACTGAAAAAGCACTCCAGACAAAAGGAATCACAAGAGCAAAACCCTGACGTAGCAAAGTGCTTGGAATTTTCACAGCTTCATGAGAAAATCAGCATGGGTTGGAACTGAGTAAAAAATGTGTTCAGAGAGAATCAGAGGACAGACCAGTAAGGCTTTACAGACGAAGGTAAAGACTGTGGATTTGATTGGAAGATTTTCAGAAAGGAAACCATGCAATGTAATTTACATTTTTAAATAATCAGTCTAGCTCCTGCGCAGAGGGTGAGTCAGAAAGTGATTGAAATCTGAGATATCATTTATGAAGCTATTACAGTAGCTTTGAAAACAACACAATGGCAGCTTAAGTCTTCTTATGTCAGTGTTTTTGCTCCCTAGAACCTTTGTCCATTTATCACAAAACCATGTATCATAAATACACCATAAGGTCAATAATCTGCAAGCATTGTTTTATGATACATGGACAAAAGTTTTAAATAAAGATAACAGTTTTAAATAAGTTATAATCTGAAATAATCTGTTTACTCTTCTCCCAGAAGCGCTTGGGTTTGACACCATCATTCTTTCCAACATTTATTTTAAATTCAAGGCCACACGTGCATGTGTGTTACATAGGTAAACTTGTGTCATAGGGGTTTGTCGTACAGATTATTTCATCACCAGGGCACTTAATAGCCTAGTGCCCATTGATTATTTTTCCTGATCCTCTCATTCTTCCCCTTCTCCACCCTCTGATACGCCCCAGTGTGCGTTCTTCCCTTCTATGTCCATGTGTTCTCATCATTTAGCTCCCACTTATAAGTGAGAACATGCAGACACCATCATTCTTAAATCCATTCACAATTACATGTGGTTCCCTAGATATGCCCTACAACTCTTACCTTTCTAAAGCTGGAGATAATTCATCAAACTGTGGAAATCTTGTTTTAGATTTTCTAACCTTAAACCCTATCACATCTATTTTTCATTTCTGTGATCGATACTTTCTAAAATGCTTTTAAATTTCCTTTTACATGGAACTAGTACAACTCGACTATATTTTTCATATGAGGATGTGGCTGTTTGGAAACGGCTTGACTTGTATCATAGCAATTCAATTTATGTCTCCTAAGAACATGTTCTAAAGGTAGTAAATAAGTTCAATGTGAAAAAGGGTTTTGTAGTTAAGATATGTTTTGGAGTCATTGAACTAAATAAAATTAGTCAGATCCAATTTCTGCAGGGTAGTTCAGAGAATTTAGCCTGCTTTTATGCATATGACTCTCCATGAGTTAAAATAATATTTGGAGTATTTATCAAACTTAATTGACTACAGAAGTCTTTCCTCTTTTATAGGATATTTCAAAGGACTAAAGTTCTGTTGAATACATGCTACCGATTTCCAGAGGACAGAAGTTTTAAATAAGTTTTAATCTGATATGATCTAAAAGCAGCAATCTATATCACCAAAATGGTAATTCAGCATTGAAATGAATATGAGGTCTATCTTGTACACTCACACTAATCTCGTTCCTCAGAAAAACTTCTTTTGGTAATATTCTCATGATGAAATCATTTTGAAAGTATTTTTTTTAAAAATGAAAATGACAGCAGGGAATTTGTTAATATTACCTAAACTTACTCCAACGTTTCTGAATAAAATGAATGAATCTCATCTATTGAGAGTTATCTTCATTAAAAATAAAATTTGGGGGAGTCTGGTAGGAAAAGGCTTCATTCTGTTTCTGGCCACTAGACTATAAAAAGAGAAAGAGACTCCTGTTGTTAGAAATTTACAATATAGCAGAGATGACTCATCCGATCACTTAGAAGCCTCCAGAAAGCCAAAGATGAATACTGTTTGCTTCGTGTCTGCGTTCATCCTTTTCCTGTTTCCTGTTTCAAGATGAGTAACCAGTTACAAAGGACCAGAGGGTGTTTTCACACCTTTTCCTCCTCTTTATTAAGGTAGACTTTACAGCCCAAGTGTGACAGGTAGTGTTTCGGCACACTGGATTTCTCGCAGGAACATATTATCTAACTCTGCAGGAGTTGGAGACTTTAGATTGTCTCAGGATTAATAGATACCACCTTGCCATCAGCAAATTCTTTGTACCCAGGAAACAAGGTTGTAGTCAGGTATGCTATCTTTTCTTTGGACAGTCTATAGTAGTTGTCCCAAAATAAAGAACACTTTGTCTTTCCACAATATAATAAAAATAGCATGGGTTATAGAATAAAAAAACACCTCGAACTCCATATGTGTTAGTGAAAGTGCTTAATGTATATAAGCCTGTTATTTAATTTCTCAAATGGGCAAAAAAATCAACCAGCTAACTTCACAGGGGTGTTGTATGAATTAATGAGATTTAAAATGTGCACTATTTCAGAATATAAGTCTGGGAAAGCAGGTATATTTACTGCATTGTTCTCTTTTCTACCCAATGCCTTGAGCAGTACTTTGCATAAAGCTGGCAGGCAATATAATTTTAATTGTCCTGGTTGAACATACTTAGTACATTGAAGCCCTTTTTATCACAGGTCCCAGTATAAACAAGGTCACCAGTGATTAGACATGGTTTGTGGCAGAAAATTTTTGTTAATCATAAATCATATGTTAATCATAACCGTAAAAAGGTTTAGTATTGAACCTGTTTTAGGTAAACAGCTGGGCAGTTGAAAAGACCTTATCAATTGTAATAATATTAATTTCTTCTCTCCTTTATTTTGTGAATTTTCTCCAAGGAGCAATAGTAAAGAGTAACTTCATGTTTTAGGGCAATTATAAAATTTAAAGACGATTTTAATATGTTGAGTAAAAAGGAAACTGACATTTACTTGGAAATTTGGCATATGTGGTTCCAAGAGAGTAAAAATCTAAAGATTGTGTGGGTGTATGATTTTTATCATTCTTCCTTATGGTGTTCTGAAATGAATAACTAGAAATTTTAATTGAGAAACCATTTCATTAAAATTACCTATATTTTCCATTGCTCTAGTGTATTCTAATTTGCCTAAGTAACTGTCTTCTTTATCCCCCTTCCCACACTGCCCAAGCACGTGGTTATTTCTACTTCATATCCTATTTTCCAGCATACAAAAACTAGGGCTAAAGCAAAGCAAAACAAAACCCCATAATGCATATGAAATTCTGATTTCTCTTTTTTTCACATGGTCAGAAACATGAGAAGTTCACCAACAGGCCATGTACAGTTCAAATATTGGTTAGTATTTTTTTGCCTCCCATTCCTATAGAAAATAGAAGAAAAAAACAGAAAACTAACAGTGTTGAATTATAATGTAGTCACATAACTACTTTTACCCACCTTGCTCACTGAAAATTCCTCTTCTCTAAATACATTGGGACTGAGGAATGTATGTGTAGTGGGGACTGAGGCTAAGGGATACATTTGGAATATAATATTAATATGTATAAGTATAAAATACAATAAATGTGATAAAAGTAATAATAACCTTTATCAATGGCTGTGTGCAGGTACTCTGACAAGTGCAGTGCAACATTCTTTCATTTAATTCTTACAATTCTACAATATAGGAATTTTATAGCTGTTTTACAAAAATCAAGAAATTGAAGATCAGAAAACTTATTCAATTATACATGTATCATTATGTAATATAATGATATTACTGAATAGCAGAGCTGAGGTTAAATATCAGGTCTGTTTATTCTGGTTCCTGATCACTAAAGACAAAGGGATATGTCTCTTCTAAATGCAGAGGAGCAAATAAAAAAATGAATTTTAAATGACAGAAGCCAAAAATTAAGCTCATGTAGTCACTTATCTACCATGGGTGAAGGTTTGAAGGTCAGCATTCTACCAGTAATCTCGACCTCACAATCCATATATTTCTGTTACATGTCATGTTTTGGTCGTGAGTGCAGCACAAAATAAACTAAGTAAATCTTGGACTTGCCAAGGCTCTATTGAAAGTTTTCTGCTGGAATCATAACATCAAAGGCTGTTGAAAGGAGCCTCAACAGTCAAAAACCCTAAAACGAAGTGATGTTTGATATTTCTCATTTCTTTCCCACTTAAAATGTATGAACTATAAACAACTTTCAAATTTGTCTTTGCAATAGTTTGCTGAGAATGATGGTTTCCAGCTTCATCCTTGTCCCTTACAAAGGACATGAACTCATCATTTTTTTATGGCTGCATAGTATTCCATGCTGTATATGTGCCACATTTTCTTAATCCAGTCTATCATTGTTGGACATTTGGCTTGGTTCCAAGTCTTTGCTGTTGTGAATAGTGCCACAATAAACATACGTGTGCATGTGTCTTTATAGCAGCATGATTTATAATCCTTTGGGTATATACTCAGTAATGGGATTGCTGGGTCAAACACTGCATGTTCTCACTCATAGGCGGGAACTGAACAATGAGAACATATGGACACATCACACACTGGGGCCTGTTGTGGGGTGGGAGGGAGGGGGAGGGATAGCATTAGGAGATATACCTAATGTTAAATGACGAGTTAATGGGTGCAGCACACCAACATGGCACATGTATACATATGTAACTAACCTGCACATTGTGCACATGAACCCTAAAACTTAAAGTATAATAAAAAAACTTTCAAATTGATATTAATTTCTTTGTCTTCTTTCAGAGTTCAAAAGACAGAAAAAAAGATAGTCATCACAGTTGATACATCACTTTTCATATCTCAACTTGCCTTTGACTGAGTGAGTGACAAGGTTGGGGTTCAATTCTAGAAAGAAATATAAATCGATGTTCCTTGTGCTTAGAAAATATGGGATGACATATTAAATATTTGATCCTTATTACAAATATTTTTCTGTGGTTTTCTTTGTAAATCATAGCTCAGTGCTGTGCTTTGTATGTTGATAGAGATTATGTTACTGGCACTTTTCTCAAAAAAAAAAAACAAAATAAGTCTTTTTAAAGAAAATACAGCAAAGCTTATCTGTAGCCAAGTCATATGGTTGTCAAATTCAAGAGTATTATTATGAAAAATTAAACATCTCCAGTTTTTCCCCAAAATATTAATGTATAAATTTAGAGCAATTTGATAACTCAGTTTAATCATTTAGAAAAGTAAAGGTGGACAGGTGCAGTGGCTTATGCCTGTAATCACAGCACTTTGGGAGGCTGAGGTGGGTGGATCATGAGGTCAACAGATCAAGACAATCCTGGCCAACATGGTGAAACCCATTTCTACTAAAAATACAAAAAATTAACTGGGCATGGTGGTGCGCACCTCTAGTCCCAGCTACTCAGGAGGCTGAGGCTGGAGGATCCCTTGAACCCAGGAGGTGGAGGTTGCAGTGAGCCGAGATGGCACCACTGCACTCCAGCCTGGCGGCAGAGTGAGATTCTGTCTCAAAAAACAAAACAAACAAACAAAGAAAAGAAAAGGCTTATATCTCATAAATCAGTGAGGAAAATACTGCGATTCAGTAGAAAATAGGTAAAGAAGATGGAGAACCACTTGGTAGAAAAATAAAAGCAAATGATTAAAACACATAAAAATTATACAACATAACTACTTTAAAGAAAAATAATACTAATGAAACACTGGCTGGCATAATCAGTTTTGTAATGTTCTTTTTGATGTGATCAGTTTTGTACTTTGCTTTTTGAAGTCTCATTTAAAAGCACATTTTCAGAACAAGCACTTGCTTTAATTCTCTTTTCCCAGTTACTGTCTATTCTACTACCCCATATATACTACATATTGCTAATCATACTATGAAATTTTCCTTTATATCTATCTATCTACCTACCTACCTATATATTTATCTATTCATTCATCCATCTTTTAGTCTAGTCATCTCTCCATCTATTTTTCTTTATTGCCTATCTTTTGCCAAATTAAAAGTGGGCTCCATAAGTATAGTAGTAATGTTTCTCTAACTTGCTACCGCATTTTTTTATTTTATATATATATTTTTTGCCTAATGTAATGCCTAACACTTAATAGGAGCTCATAAAATGGTTACTGAGGGAATGAGTAAATACTACACAATTGAAGAAATTATATATAAACTGACTCACTACCATTGGAAATTCATATTAGTGGAACTCAGCTTATACATATACTTTGACATGTTTGCTAAGAATGCAACCTTAGGCACATAATGAAGCAATATCTGGATAGCAGAAATCTAGAATTAACCTAAGTCTATCAATAAGAGACTGATTAAGCAAATTACTTGACATCTGTATGATGAAGATGCTATTAAGCACTAAAACTTACATATATATATATATACACATAAATATTAATTTTTGATTTAGTGGTAAATATGCAGGATTGTTTTTTAGGTAAACTTTAGGTCATGGCAATTTGGTATACAGATTATTCAGTCACCCATGTTATAAGCATAGTACCTGATGGGTATTTTATTTCTTCTCCTTCTTCCCAACTTCCACCATCAGACAGACCCTGGTGTCCATTGTTCCCCTCTTTGGTCCATGCGTTCTCATTGATTAGCTCCCACTTATAAGTGAGAACATACAGTATTCAAAACCATTGTTTTTAATATGGAGTGATATATAAAGATCTCTAAATTCTAGACAAAAAAAAACTTACAAAAGAATAACGAATCCAGGAGTTGTTTTTTTGAAAAAAAAAAAAAAAGAGAGAGACAGAGATAGACTGTTAGCTAGCCTAATAAAGAACAAAAAGAGAGAAGATCCAAATAAACATAATTAGAAATGGCAAAGGGGTCATTACCACTGATGCCATAGAAATACAAAAAGGTCTCAGAGACTACTAAGAACACCTCCATGCACACAAGCTAGAAAACCTAGAAGAAATTGATGAATTCCTAGAGACATACAACATTTGAAGACTGAACTTGGAAGAAGTTGAATCCCTGAGAAGACCAATAATAAGTTTCAAAATTGAATCAGTAATAAAAAGCCTGCAAACCAAAAAAAGCCCAGGACCAGGTGCATTTACAGCCAAATTCTACTAGATGTATAAAGAAGAGCTGGTACCATTTCTTCTGAAACGATTCTGAAGAAATTGAGGAGAAGGTACTCCTTCCTAACTCATTCTATGAGGCCAGCATCATCTTGATACCAAAACCTGGCAGAGATACAACAAAAAAAGAAAACTTTAAGCCAACATTCCTGATGAACATACATGCAAAAATCATCAACAAGACACTAGAAAACCAAACCCAGCAGCACATTAAAAAGTGAATCCACTATGATCAAGTAAGCTTTATCCCTGGCATGCAAGGTTGGTTCAACATATAAGCAAATCAATAAATGTGATTTATCACATAAACAGAACTAAAAACAAAAACCAAATAATTATCTCAATAGATGCAGAAAAAGCTTCCAGTAAAATTCAACATTCCTTTATGTTAAAAACACTCAACAAACTAGGCATTAAAAGAATATACTCCAAAATAATAAGAGCCCTCTATGATAACCCACAGCCAACATCATAATGAATGGGCAAAAAGTGTAAGCATTTCCCTTAAAAACCAGAACAAGTCAAGGATGCCCTCTCTTACCACTACTATTTCAATACTGTACTGGAAGGCCTGGCCTGAGCAATCCAGCAAAGGAAAGAAATAAAATGCATTCAAGTAGGAAGAGAGAAAGTCAAACTACCACTGTTTGCAGACAATATAATTCTATACTTACAAATCCCCATAGTCTGTGCCCAAAAGCTCCTTGATCTGATGAACAACTTCAACAAAATTTCAGGATACAAAATCAATGTAAAAAATCAGTAGTACTCCTGTACACGAAGAACATCCAAGCTGAGAGCCAAATCAAGAATGCAATCTCATTCACAAGAGCTACAAAGAGAATAAAATGCCTAGGAATACAGCTAACCAGGGAGATAAAAGATATCTACAATAAGAATTACAAAACACTGCTCAAATAAATTGGAGATGATACAAACAGATAGAAAAACATTACATGCTCATAGGAAGAAGAATCAATATTGTCAAACTGGCCACACTGCCCAAAGTAATTTACAGAATTTGTAGATTCCATGCCATCCTATCAAATTCAATTGAATTTATAGATTCAATGCCATGCTATCAAACTATCAATAACATTCTTCACAGAATTCAAAAATACTATTCTAAAATTCATATGGAACCAGAAAAGATCCCAAATAGCCAAGACAATCCTAAGCAAAATAAACAAAGCTGGAGGCATCACATTACCTGTCTTCAAACTACACTACAAGGCCACAGTAACCAAAACAGCATGATACTGGTACAAAAACAGTTACATAGACCAATAGAATGGAATAGAAAGCACAGAAATAATGCCATATTCATACACCCATCTGATCTTTGACAAAGCTGACAAAAACAAGCAATGGAAAAAGGATTCCCTATTTAATAAATGGTGCTGGGAGAACTGGCTAGCCATATGCAGAAGATTGAAACTGGACCCCTTCCTTATGCTATATACAAAAATCAACTCAAAATAAATTAAATACTTAAATGTAATACCTACAACTATAAAAACCCTGACAAATAACATAAGAATTACCATTCTGGATGTAGGACCCGGCAAAAATTTCATGATGAGGATGCCAAAAGCAATTGCAACACAACCAAAAATTACCAAGTGGGACCTAGTTAAATGAAAGAGATACTTCATAGCAAAAGAAACTATCAAAAGAGTAAACAGGCAACCTACAGAATGGAAGGAAAATTTTGCAAACTATGTATTGGACAAAGTGGTAATATCCAGCATCTGTGAGGAACTTAAACAAATTCACAAGGAAAAACCAAACAACACCATTAAAAAGTGGGCAAATATATGAACACACACTTCTTAAAAGAATACATACATGAGGCCAATGAGCATATGAAAAACAGCTCAACATCACTGATCATTAGAGAAATGAAAATCAAAAACACAATAAGACACCATCTCACACCAGTCAGAATGGCTGTTATTAAAAAGGTAAAAAATCACAGATGCTGGCAAGGTTGTGGAGAAAAAGGAATGCTTATACACTGTTGGTGGGAGTGTAAATTAGTTCAACCATTGCAGAAGACGGTGTGGTGATTCCTCAAAGAGCTAAAGACAGAAATACCATTTCACCCAGAAATCCCATTACTGCATATATACCCAAATGAATATAAATTGTTCTGTTACAAAGACACATGCATTTGTATGTTCATTGCACCACTGTTCACAATAGCAAAGACATGGAATCAACCTAAATGCCCACCAATAATAGACTGGATAAAGAAAATGTGATACATATACACCATAGAATACTGTGCAGCCATAAAAATGAATGAGATCATGTCCTTTGCAGGGACATAGAAGGAGCTAGAGGCCATTATTCTTAGCAAACTAACACAGTAACAGAAAATTAAATAGTGCATGTTCTCACTTATAAGTGGCAGCTAAATGATGAGAACACATGGACACACAGAGGGGAACAACAGACACCGAGGCCTATCAGAGGCTGGAAGGTAGGAGGAGGGAGAGGATCAGGGAAAGTAATTAATGGGTACTAGGCTTAATACCTGGGTGATGAAATAATCTGTACAACAAATCCCCACGATACAAGTTTACCTATGTAACAAACCTGCACATGTGCCCCTGAACTTAAAATAAACGTTTTTTTAAAAGCAAACAACATGAATCTCTTTGTATGTCTTCATCAGAGCTCTTGAGTGACCGAGTACATTGTCAATGAGGAGTAGTATTTTATAAAAATCGTTTTTTGTTTTCCTGAGCAGATTTCAACAATGAGTTTAAAATATTCAGCAAGCCATACTATAAATAGATGTGCTGTCATCCAGGCTTTGTCATTCCATTAATGAAGCACAGGCAGAGTGGATTTAGCATAATTCTTAAGGGTCCTAGGATCTGCAGAATGGTAAATGAGTATTGACTTCAACTTAAAGCCACCAGCTGCATTAACTCCTAATAAGAGTCAGCCTGTTCTTTGAAGCTTTGAAGCCAGGCATTGACTTCTCCTCTCTTGCTATGGAAGTCTTGGATGGGATCTTCTTACAAGAGAAGGTTGTTTGTCTACTTGGACAATTTGTTATTTAGTGTAGCCACCTTCATCAGTCATTTAGCTAGATTTTCTGAATAACTTGCTGCAGCTCCTACATCAGCACTTGCTACTTCACCTTATACTTTTATGTTGTGGATTTGGTAGTTTTCCTAAACCTTATGAACCAATCTCTGCTAGCTTGAAATTTTTCTCCTACAATTTCCTCACCTTTCTTAGCCTTCACTACATTAGGCTTTGTCTTAAGAAAATGTTGCAGCTGGTTTGGTCTATCCAGACCACTAAAATTTTCTTCATATTGGCAACAGGCTGTTTTGCTTTCCTATCATTCATGTGTTCGCTGAAGTCTCACTTTTAATTTTCTTCAGAATTTTTTTTCTTTGATTTCACAACTTGGCTAACTGTATGGCATTGTGCCTTCCTTACTAAGCTTAGTCATTTCTAGCTTTCGATTTAATGTGAGAGATGTGCAATATTTCCTTTCATTTGAAAATATTTATTTATTTTATTGTTTTGAGACGGAGTTTCGCTCTTGTTGCCTAGGCTGGATTGCAATGGCGTGATCTTGGCTCAGCGCAAACTCTGCCTCCGGGGTTCGAGCGATTCTCCTGCCTCAGCCTCCTGAGTAGCTGGGATTACAGGCATGCACCACCACACCTGGCTAATTTTACATTTTTAGTAGAGATGGGGTTTCTCCATGTTGGTCAGGCTGGCCTCAGACTCCCAACCTCAGGTGATCCGCCTGCCTTGGCCTCCCAAAGTGCTGGTATTACAGGCGTGAGCCACTGCACCCTGCCCATTTGAAAACATTTTAAAGGGCATTGTAGGGTTGTTTATTGGCCTAGTTTCAATACTGTTGTCTCTCAAGAAATTGGGAGGCCCCAGAAAAGGGAGAGATATGACCAGTTGTTGCAGCAGTCAGAACACACGCAACGTTTCTGGATTAAATGTGTTATATGGGCATGGATCACGGTACCCAAAAACAATTACAATAGTAACATCAAAGATCACAGAGCACCATAACAGATTTAATAATAATAATAGAGTTTGAAATATTGTGAGAATTATGAAAATGTGACACAGAGACATGTTATGAACACATGTTGTTGGAAAAACTGCTAGACTTGCTCAATGCAGAGTTGCTATAAACCTTCAATTTGTTAAAAAAAAAAACCCAAAAAATCTGTGAAGCACAATAAAACAAGGTATGCGTGCATCACCTCAAGCCAGAAAAAAATTATTATTACTGCTATTTACATTTTATTGTTGAAGAAACAGACTTAGTATATTTACTTTTCCAGAGGTCCCACATTTTACAAGAGGCACAGCTTAGCTTGTCTCTCAGAACATTTAAGTCCAAAATCACGTGCACTGGTGTAAACTCAAGGAAGAAATGAAATGCCTACATTACTCCACTATTGCTGTCACTCTTGCTCTTTATGGACTTATTTTCGCTTGTAGTAGTTATGGGGACATTCTCATGACCTGCATGCCTACCTCTGCTCCCAGCATCTTAGACAACAGCTAATGAGCCTCCACCCTGCCTTCTTCACCAAAACCCATGCAAACTAAAAGATGTGATAATCCAAATCTGTAACTCTTTCTAATGACTTCAGTGTATGATGGAAACTATAATAATTTTAAAAATATAGTTTCTTATACAACACATAAAGACCTAGTGAAGACACAAAGTAAAGTTTGTGTGAGAAATGAGATAAAACAGAGAAAGAACAGAGGAAGACAGAGAAGCAGTGAGGGAAATGTCTTTTTAAATGTTAACAATAGCTAAGATTTATTGACTACTTACTATTCAGTGTATTTAATTTTTTATTTTTATGTGTACATAGTAGGTGTATATATTTGTGGGGTATATGAGATACTTTGAAACAGGCATATAATGCATAATAATCATATCAGGGTAAATGGAGTATCCATCACCTCAAGCATTTATTATTTTTTGTGTTACAAACATTGCAATTATACTCTTTTAGCTATTTTAAAACCTACAATAAATTAATGTCATCCTGTTGTGCTATCAAATACTAGATTTTATTCATTCTAACTAAATTTTTAATCCATTAATCATCCCCACTCCCTTCCTCCACAAATACCCTTCCCAGACTCTGATAACCATCATTCTACTCTCTATCTCCATGAGTTCAATTACTTTAATTTGTAGCAGCCACAAATGGGTGAGAATATGCAAAAGTTTGTCTTTCCGTGTCAGGCTTACTTCACATTAACATAAAGACCTCCAGTTCCGTCTATGTTGCTGCAAATGACAGAATCTCATTTTTTTTTTAATGGCTGAATAGTACTCTATTGTGTATATGTACCACATTTTCCTTATCCATTCATCTGTTGGTGAACACTTCGGTTGCTTCCAAATCTTGGCTATTGTGGATAGTGCTGCAATTAACATGGGAGTGCAGATATTTCTTCAATATACTGATTTCCTTTTGTGGAGCATATTTGCCCAGTAGTGGAACGGCTGGATTATACGATAGTTCTATTTTTAGTTTATTGAGAAACCTCCATACTGTTATTTATAGTGACTGTACTAATTTACATTCCAAACACCAGTGAATGGGGTTCCCTTTTCTCCACATTCTTGCCAGCATTTGTTATTGCCTGTCTTTTGGATAAAAGTCCTTTTAACTGGAATGAGATGATACCTCATTGTAATTTCGATTTGCATTTCTCTGATGATCAATGATGTTAAGGACTTTTTTATACACTTGTTTGCCATTTGTATGCGATTCTGACACAATCTCAGACATTCTGAGAAATGTCTATTCAGATCTTTTGCCCATTTTAAAATCAGATTATAAGATTTTTTCCTATTGAGTTGTTTGACCTCCTTATATATTCTGGTTATTAGTCCCTTGTCAGATGTAGAGTTTGCAAATGTTTTCTCCGATCATATGGGTTTTCTCTTCAATCTGATGATTGTTTTCCTTGCTGTGTAGAAACTATTTAACTATATTTAATTTCATTTGTCTGTTTTTGCTTGGTTGCCTTATGCTTTTAGGATATTACTCAAAAAATCTTTGCCCAGACCAATGTCCTGAAGCATGTCCCCAATGTTTTCTTTTAGTAGTTTCATAGCTTGCGATCTTAGATTTAAGTCTTTAATCCATTCTGATCTGATTTTTGCATGTGCTGAGATATAGGGGTCTAGATTTATTCTTCTGCATATGGATATTCCATTTTCCCAGCATCATTTATTAAAGAGGCTGTCCTTTCCCTAGTGTATGTTCTTGGTGCCTTAAAATGAGTTCACGGCAGATGTATGGATTTGTTTCCAAAATCGAATGGAAATTCTAGTCCATTGGTCTATGTGTCTGTTTTTATGCCAGTACAATGATGTTTTGGTTACTATAGCTCTGTAGTATCATTTGAAGTCAGGTAACATGATTCCTACAGTTTTGTTCTTTTTGCTCAGAATGGCTTTAGCTATTCTTAATGTTTTGTGTTTCCATATAAATTTTAGAATTATTTTTCATATTTCTATGAAGAGTGCCATTGGTATTTTGATAAGGATTGCATTGAATCAATAGATTGCTTTGGAAAGTAAGAACTTTTTAATAATATTGATTCTCTCAATCCATGAACATGAAATATCTTTCCATTTATTTTTGTGTTCTCTTCAAGTTCGTGCATTAATGTTTTACAGTTCTCATTGTAGAGATCTTTTACTTCTTTGGTTAATTTTTAAGTATTTTCTTTTACTTGTAGCTAGTGCAAATGGGGTTACTTGCTTGATTTCATTTTCAGATTGCTTGCTGTTGGCATGTAGACGTGACAGATTTTTGTATGTTGATTTTGTATCCTGCAACTTTACTGAATTTATTAGTTTTAACAGTTTTTTTGATGGAGTTTTCAAATTTTTCCAAATATAGGATCATATCATCTGCAAACAAAGATACTTTTACTTCTTTCATTCTAATTTAAGTGCCCTTTCTTTCTCTTGTTTGATTGTTCTGTGTAGGACTTCCAGTACTATTTTCAATAGTAATGGTGAAAGTGGGCATCCTTGACTGATCCACTGATCATTCAGGAACATATTGTGTAATTTCCATGTGTTTGTACAGTTTCCAATGTTTCTCTTGTTATGATGATTTCTAGTTTTATTTCATTGCTGCCAAATAAGATACTTGATATGATTTTTTTTTTTTGAAATTTTAAAGACTTGTTTTGTGGCCAAACATGTGTTCTATCCTTGAGAATAATCTGTGTGCTGAGGAGAAGAATGTGCATTCTGCAGCTACTGGATGAAATATTCATAAATATTTATTAGGTCCTTTAGGTCTATAGTGCAGATTAAGTCTAATGTTTCTTTGTTGGTTTTCTGTCTGGACGATCTGTCCAATAGCTGAAAGTGGGATGCTGAAACCTCCAGCTATTGTTGTACCGAGGTCTGTCTCTCTCTTTAGCTCTAATATTTGCTTTAGACTAGTCCTAGGGTAGTCAGTTATCTCAATTGATCACAGTCAGTTACATATTGAATTCCTTGTTATACTCTTCCCCCCTTTCTCACTACTAAACTTGACTACTCTTAACAAAATATATTTTGCTTTATATATCTGGTTGATCAAGTGTTGAGTGCCTATGTATTTACAATCATTATATCCTCTTGCTGATTTGACCTCTGTCACTATATAATGACCTTGTTTATCTCTTTTTATAGCTTTGTATTGAAGTCTGTTTTGTCTAATATAAGTGTAGTACTCTTGCTTTTTGGTTTTCACTTTCATAGAATATCTTTTTTCATCCCTTTATTTTCAGCCTATGTGTGCCTTTATAGATGTTACAGGTGAAGTGTGTTTCTTGTAGGTAACAAATATTTTAAAATTATTCATTCGGCCACTCTATGTCTTTTACTGGAAATTTTAGTCCATTTACACTCAATGTTATTATTGATAAATAAAGACTCCTGCCATTTTGTTATTTGTTTTCTGGTTGTTTTATAGTTCCTTCCTTCCTTTTTTCCTTTCTTTCTTCCTTCCTTCCTTCCTTCCTTCCTTCCTTCCTTCCTTCCTTCCTTCCTTCCTTCCCTTTCCTTCCTTTCCTTCCTTACTTCCTTCGAAGGTGTTTTTTTCTTGTATGTTTTAATTTCTTGCTTTTTATTTTTTGTGGATCTGTTGTAGGTTTTTTAAATTTGATGTTACCATGAGGCTTGTGAATAACATCCTATAAACCATTATTTTAAACACATGACAACACAATACTAATTGCAATAACAAACAAACAAGCAAAGAGAAAACTGATAAAATCTTTACAAATTAACTTCATCCCACTCCGCTTTTAAACTTTTGGTTGTTCCTATTTATATCTTCTTTTTAAATTTTATTTTATTATTATTATACTTTAAGTTTTAGGGTACATGTGCACAATGTGCAGGTTAGTTACATATGTATATCTTCTTATACTATGTCTTGATAAGTTGTTGTGGTTATTAGTTTTGATAGGTTCATCTTGAGTTGACAAGATACGAGTAGTTTGCACACCACAATTACAGTGTTATAATATTCTGTGTTTGTGAACTTACTTTCAATAATAAGTTTTATGTCTTCAGATTATTTCTTATGGCTCATTAATATCTTTTTCTTTCAGATTGGAGAACTCCCTTTAGCATTTCTTGCAGGATAGTTTTGGTGTTGATAAAATCCCTCAGCTCTTGTTTGCCTGAGAAAATATAGCTACTTCATATCTGAGGGATATTTTCACTGGATATACTATTCAGAGATAAAAGAGTTTTTCCTTCAGCACTTTTAATATGTTATGCCACTCTTGCCTGACCTGTAAGGTTTCCACTGAGAAGTCTGATGCAGGATGCTTTGGAGCACCTTTGTATGTTATTTGTTTCTTTTCTTTTGCAGCTCTTGGGATTGTTTCTTTATCCTTGACCTTTGGGACTTTGATTATTAAATGTATTGAGGTAGTCTTGTTTGGGTTAAATCTTCTTGGTGCTCTATAATGTTCTTGTACTTGAATATTAATATCTTTCTCTAGGTATAAGTTCTCTGTTATTATTCCTTCAAATAAACTTTCTACCCCAGTCTTTCTCTCTACTTACTCTTTTAGGTCAATATCTCTTAGATTTGCCTTTTTAGATTATTTTCTAGATTTTTGTAGTTGTAGTTCATTCTTTTTTATTCTTTCTTCTTTTGTCTTCTCTGCTTGTCTATTTTTAAATAGGTTGGCTTCAAGTCACCAATTCTTTCTTTTGCATGATCAATTCTGCTCTTGAGAAACTAATGCATTTTTTACTATATAATTTTTCAGGTCCAGAATTTCCGTTTGATTTTTAAAAATTATTTCAGGCCAGGTGCAGTGGCTCATGCCTGTAATTCTAGCACTTTGAGAGGCTGAGGTAGCGGTTCACTTGAGGCCAAAAGTTTGAGACCATCCTGGCCAACATGGCAAAACCCCATCTCTAAAAACACAAAAATTAACCAGGCCTAGTGTCACGTGCCTGTAATTCTAGGTATTTGGGAGGCTGAGTCATGAGAAACACTTGAATTTGGGAGGTGGGGGTTGCAGTGACCTGAGATCATGCCAATGCACACCAGCCTGGGCGATACAGCGAGACTCTGTCTCAAGAAAATTATTTCAATCTCTTTATTAAATTTATTTGATAGGATTTCGAATTACTTCTCTCTGTTATCTCCAATTTTATTGTGCTTCCTCTAAACAGCTGTTCTGAATTCTCTGTCATACCAGGTTAGGTCACTGGCACCTTATTTATTTCATTCAGTGAGGTCATGTTTTCCTGGATGGTCTTCATGCTCGTGAATGTTCTTTGATGTCTAGGCATTGAAGAGTTAGGTATTTATTGTAGCCTTTGTAGCCTGGGCCTGTTTCTACCCATCTGTCTTAGAAACGGTTTCCAAGTATTCAAAGGTACTTGAGTGTTGTGATCTAACTCTTTGGTTATTGCAGCTGTATCTGCATAAGGGGACATCCTAAATCCAGTAATTCTGTGACTCTTGCAGACTCAAGGAGCTACCATATTGGTCATCTTCAATAAGATCCATGAGAATTCCCTGAATTATGAGGCAGAGACTTTTGTTCTCTACCCTTACTTTACCCTAAACAAATAGAATCTGTCTCTCCATGCTGAGCTGCCTGGAGCTGCGGGAGGGCTGACACAAACACCCCTGTGACTACCACCACTGAGACTGCACTGGGTTTCACCCAAAACCTCTGGCAACCACTGCCAGGCTCCTGCCAGTGTTCACTCATGTCCAAGAGCTCTTCAGTCAGCAGGTGGCAAATCCAGGCAGGCTTATGTCCTTCCTTTCAGGGAAGTGAGATCCCTGCTGGCCCAGGTTAGAGACAGAAATGTTTTCTCGGAGCCAGGGCCTGTACTCGGGAAACTAAGGAATTTACGTGATGGTCTATTCTAATGTAGCTGAGCTGGCACCCAAGCTGCAAGACAAAGTTCTTCCTATCCTTTCTTCTCCCTTCTTCAAGCAGGAGTCTCTCCTCATGGCCACTGCTGCTCCAGGCCCATGGCAAATACTCCTTGGCTACTGCCGATGTCCATCCAAGGCCCAAGGGCTCTTTAATCAGCTTGTCATGAATGCTGCTAGGCCTGGGTCTCTCCTTTCAGGACAGTCGGCTTCCCTGTGGCCCCGAGTGGGTTCAAAAGTGCTGCTCAGGAGCCAAGGTCTGAACCTGAGGACTCCAGGAGCCCATTTAGTGCTCTACCCTACTGTGGCCAACCTGGTACCCAAGCTGTAAGACAAAGTCCCCTTTACTCTTCCCCCTCCTTTCTGCAAGCAGAAGGAATCTTTATCCATAGCCACCATAGCTAGGAATGTGCTGGGTCACACCTGAAGCCAGCACAGCCTTGGGTCTTACCCAAGGCCCACGGGAAGTACTGTCTTTGTGCCACTGATGTTTATTCAAGTCCCAAAGGCTGCTTAATCAACAGGTGCTAAATCGTGCCAGGACTGGGCCCTTCTTTTCAGGGCAGTGTGTATTTAGAAATGTCCAGGAGCGAGGGCCTGGAAGGAGGGGTCTGAGGGCTCAGCCTGATGTCCTATTTTATTGTGGCTGAACTGGTATCCAAGTTGCAAGACAAAGTCCTCTTTACTCTCTTCTCACCTCTCCTCATGCAAAATGAAGAAGTCTTTCCTGGAGCTGCAAGCTGCACTGCTTTGGGTTGGGAGAGGGGTGACACAAGCCCTCCCTTAGCCACCACTGCTGGTGTCTCACTAGATTACATGTATCCCAAGTCTGCTGGCTCTGAGCCTACCACAGCACCAGGACTTGCCCAGGAATTATAACCCTTGTAGCCTAAACTGCCTTTCAAGTTTATTTAGGAACCCAGAGTGCTTTAACCTATGGTGGTGGGGCTAACTGGAACTCAGTTTTCTACCACTGAGATGGATAATTCCCTTCTGGGTAGCACTGATATAAACGCTCCCTCCATGGGCACCAGCTGAATTCTTCCCTGTGTTGCTTTTTGCTGTGACAGGGCAGCACTGAGTTCCAATTAAGTTCCACACACAATGCACTGTCCCTCCCGCAAGCACAGATTCTCTCTCTGCACCATGCTGTGCTGCTGAGGGATGGTGGAGGGGTGGTATAGGCAATTCAAGACTTTCTTTCCTACTCTCCTCAGTGCCTCTTACCTTGTTATCATGTTAAAATCAGGTACTGTGATCACAAACCTGATTTTTGGCTCTTATAAATGTGCCTTCTTTTGTAGATAGTTGTTCAATTTGGTGTTCCTGTTGGAGAGACAATCACTAGAAGATTCTATTCAGCCATTTTGCTTCATCTCCTCCCTTGCTATGCAGTGTTTTACATTCATAGTATAGTATAGTATTGTATAGTATAGTATAGTATAGTACAGTATAGTATAGTATAGTATGAGATTAAGTGCATAAACTGAGAAGTCAGACTCAATGGGTGTGTTTCTCAGCTCTGGCACTCAGTGACTGTGATTTATGGGCACATTTCTTATATTTTCAGGGTCTCGGCTGTAAAGTCAGTTTGATGATGAAAGCACCTGCCTCACAGGATTGTCCAGTTATGTGGTCTTTGCCAATTTCAAAGGCGTAAACACTCCTACCAGTACCTATTTCATGCTATCAACAGTTTCACAAACAGCTCACAAAATTCTTGAATATTTAATAATTGGCTCTTATGCGTCAGAATGAGCCAGCTCCAGAACACCTCCGATGTTATGATGATTACATAACTTAGTATCACAAGCACTTAAAGGATTACGTGGGACATAGTATGCATTCTATTAAGCATTTGTTTAAAAAAGATACTTATATTAACTCATCTATTTCTCACAATTATTCTATGATGTTGTTATTGCTATTCCTATTTCAAGGTAGGTTAGAGAGGTAGAAGGAACTTCAATGTCTGGCCGCTAAGGGTAGAACTGGGACTTAAGCAGTCTGCCACTCCTTATTAGACAATAAGGGGGTCTTGCCTGGGTCATTAGGTGATCTCATTCTATTGAACCTATGAGGAATTTGACTGTGCTGTATCACGGGATGAAAGAAGAGTAGATAATCCTGGAAAAACAAAACACAGTGACATGCCAGTATCAGTCATAGAGGGTAACTTGGTACTGGGGATTTTTCTGTTGCCTTGGAGTTAAATTATTTATTACATTATATCATGAAGAAACCATACTAATATACATTCCCAAGCATGAGGCAGACAGTAATGAAAACTTTCATTCCTCAAGTGTTTAATATATATTTGATTTTTTAAAATCACTTGACATGAATTACTTTATACATTTACACCAACCATTAGAAGAAAGGCTGTTATTGTTCCATTGGGCAGACAAGAAAACTGAAGCTCAACCATATTAAGTAACTTGTTCAAGGTCACAAAGCTGCCATTAAACACCAGTCTTGCTTGAATACAAAGTCTATGAGCACACTGTAAACCATATATTCTATTGCTATCCCTAAAATTGTGAACAAATTTTGTATCATATTATGCTCTTTAGAGGTTAAAATATTAAGAAATTTTAGGTTAATACTGACATTATTTTGAAGGGGGAAAGGGCAAGAATTTTAAAGACCAAAGTCAGCCAAAGATAGGGGACTGGGGAAAATTCATGTATTCAGTGTGACTGCTATTTTATTAAAAATATGGTTATATTTTATTGTCAAAGCCTCTTTACTTTTCAGTGTGTTTATAGCTCTGAGACTGGAGGAGAACAGGGGCGTGCTTTCTGTGCCTATCAAGAAGTCACATTAGGAGATACACAAGGGTCAATTTTGGGCTGCTTTACATTCTGTTTGGCACCTTCATTGTATTGGAGAAAAAAGAATTAATTGGTTCATTTAGCCTTTCACTTAATTCAGCCTTTAATGTGCACTTCAGTTCTCACCCAAATGAACAGAGACGGTGCAGGAAACAGAACACATTTAATGGGGCTCTCAAAAATGTGTAGTTGTTGCTCTTGCTTCTTTAATAGACACAAATCATTTATTTCCTTCTGTAAAACTCCATTACCCAGCAAAAAAATAGACACTCTTAACAAATGTATGTCTTATCAAAAATGAAAAACCCTTCTCTCTCTCTCTCTCTCTCATATGCACAGAGTCATGGAGGTATATTCAAAAGGTATCCACACAGCAAGCCTGCCCATCCAGTTCTACAAAGCCTACAACGTATCCCTTTCCTTGTACATGTTAAGGTTGTAACATCCTGGGCATGATACAAATAATCACTCTGAATTAGAAGTAAAAGGGATCTTAACTCAAATTAAGTCCAGTCTTCCTATTTTAAAGATTAGAGAAGTGGCCAGGCACAGTGGCTCACACCTATAATCCCAGCACTTTGGGAGGCCGAGGCAGGTGGATCATGAGGTCAGGAGATCAAGACCATCCTGGCCAACATGGTGAAACCAGGTCTCTATTAAAAATACAAAAATTAGCCAGGCATAGTGGCACATGCCTGTAGTTCCAGCTACTTGGGAGGTTGAGTCAGGAGAATTGTTTGAACCCGGGAGGCAGAGCTTGCAGTGAGCTGAGATTGTGCCACTGCACTCCAGCCTGGGAGAGAGAGAGAGACTCTGTCTCAAAAATAAATAAATAAATAACAAAAAACAACAACAACAAAAAAGGAAATAGAGAGAAGTAAGGCTTGGAGAGGTGAGGTAAAGCTTCCCTCCCCAAACTCCTTTTTTTGAGACAGGGTCTCACTCTGTCACTCTGTTGCCCAGGCTGGAGTGTAGCGGTGGGATCTTGGCTAACTGCAAGCTTCACCTCCGGGGCTTAAGCAATCCTCTCACCTCAGCCTCCTGAGTAGCTGGGACTGCAGGTGCATACCACTGTGCTTGGCTAATTTTTGTACTTTTAGTAGAGATGGGGTTTCACCGTGTTGGCCAGGCTGGTCTTGAACCCTTGGGCTCAAGTGATCCACCTGCCTCAGCTTCCTAAAGTGCTGGGATTACAGGTATGAGTTACTGCGCCTGGTCCCCAATCTCTTAATATAACCTCCCGTCTCCTATACTAAGCTGCCTGCGTATTACTGATCACTGCCATGGTGCCACAGGTTTGTCTCTTTGTGTGCTTTTCATTGAAACTTTTTTCCAAAATGTGTGTGCACCTGCGGAGACTCACTGGGCATTTTTCTGATTCCACATGCAAATATTTCTCCTTCCCTTTCTGAAAACCCTCTATGCTCCTGTTTTTGATAGTAATCATCCTTTGAGACTTGGCCTTGGGAAAACACCAAGGAAGCTATTCATTCATTCATTTATTTATTTATTTATTTAATTTTAACAAATGCTCTCAAATGTGAGCTGGTGCTGGTTTGGCTTTTTACTGATTCCCATGCTTATTCTTCTTCCCAAACAATCATAAATAGTTTACTTGACTATGCTAATGATTTTCATCAGCTTAAAAAGCCAGTTTAATTAATCTCCTTCTGTTTAACAAAATAGTCAATCTGATAAATTGTTTAGGGAAAAAAAAGGAAAGCTGGTGTTTCTCCCTTATGTAATGTGTCGGGTATGTTTAAGCAAAGGTGTTGGCAACTGATACAAAGAACTAATTCATTATTGAAAAGAAGTTGAGATACATGTGCACCTCTCAAAAGCAGGATACCAGTATGTGGCCTTCATTAGAATAGCAAGCTATGAATTAGGCAAGCCAAACATCCTATCTTCTGTGCCAGAGACAAAGCCTCTGCTCTGGGGAACAGATCCAGGTGGTAGAAGTGCATGTCATATTCTGGTTGCTTGGGAAATAAACTGTCATATTATTTGGAGCATCCCAGTAGTATGAGTTCAGCTTCCTCAGTAGACAGAACTTTTTTTCCCCAAAGCCATCCATTATTTGTAATGAAACCTCAATGTTAATTTCACTGCTCATCAATTAAGCGCATCTCTTAATTTAGTTGGGATGTGTATACAAAACATCACAATGCTAATTCTGGTCCTTATCTCATGACTATACTATCTAAGGATCCTTGCCTCCAATCTCCCCATCTCAATTTATTTTGTGACTAGATTAATCCTCTTAGGCATAGCTGTATGAGAATATTTTCCTGCTTCAAAATCTCCTGGATTCCCAGTTGCTACAGGATATTATTCAAGTTCTCTAACATAGCGCTAAAAGCTGTAAACAGTCAGAATCAACCCAATCTGAATAGCCTCATCTTTCCCAATTCATTTCCATGAGCATTTTATGCCGTCTAAAAATTATCTATTTGAAAATTAGAGTTAGAATTGAAAGAATTTTTGACTAGTAGCTTTGGAATACTCTCTCCCAATCTGATATCATAATGCCTATGAGATTCAAGGGAAAAAAGTGAAATCCACACCTCATCCCTACCTAATAGGGCAAGTTTTTGAGAGCCTATTGAATTAGAGTTTTAAAAACATTAAAGTGGTTACTGCTGAAAATTGACCTGGCTGCTCTCTAGATTAAAAACAATATTCAATCTTAAAAATTGTATGCCTCCATAACTCAACAAATAAAAAGTGAAGAAACTATATGAAAAAAAATCTTTTGCAGATGTTGAAAGGCAGTATGAGAGACTCTTTGAAAGAAGGTAAACAAATGAAATGATCTCTATGATTATTCTGACTGACCATTTGGAGAAAAATTCCAGGCTACAATAACAGAGCCTTCTCCTTGAGTTTAGAAGACAGTATTTAGAAAGGCAAAGAAGGCTAGAATTTGAAAGGCAGAATATCAGAGAGGGGCAAGTAGCAAAGAGTGATACAGAGATCTGCTGAGATTTCTCTGCCAATCATTACATGAGTACTGATTACACAAGAGGTCCGGGAAACTACCAAGTCTGGAAAACGGATCAATAGAAAGTAGCAGGTGGAAAACACTCTGCTGCGTGCACAGAAACAGGAAAAGTTTACATTCTCACCAACTATTTCTTAACAAATGGGGCATTGAATAGGGACCTCAGAGGGTCTTGCCTCAATAGTGAGGTCTAATGAACTCTAGACTGTGCAAGTTGCAGATACGAGGATGAAGTCATTCTAATCAGTCTCAGTCACATTGAGGCCAGGAGAGCACAAAGGGGAGGAGCTCATCCTTGCATATCTGAAGATAAAAACTGTTTCCTCCTACTGAAACTATTCCAGAAAATTGAAAAGGAGGGACTCCTCCCTAACTCATTCTATAAGGCCAGCATCATCCCGATATCAAAACCTGGCAGAAACACAACAAAAAAAGAAAAGTTGAGGCCAATATCTTTGATGAATATCAATGTAAAAATTCTCAACAAAATAGTGGCAAGTTGAATCTAGCACCACATCAAAAATTTATTAACCATGATAAAATAGGCTTCATCCTCAGATGCAAGTTTCGTTCAACATATGCAAATTAATAAATGTGATTCATCACATAAAAAAACTAAAGATAAAAATCACGGGATTATCTCAATGGCTGCAGAAAAGGTTTTTGATATAGTTCAACATCCTTCATGTTAAAAACTCTAACTATACTAGGTGTTGAAGGAACATACATCAAAATAATAAGAGCCATGTATGACAAACCCATAACTAACATCATACTAACTGGGCAAAACCTGGAAGCATTCCCCTTGCAAACTGGCACAAGACAAGGATGGCCACTCTCACCACTCCTATTTAACATAGTATTGGAAGTTCTGGCCAGGGCAATCAGGCAAGAGAGAGAAATAAACAGCATTCAGATAGAAAGAGAGGAAGTCAAACTATCCCTTCATTGTCTCAGCCCAAAAGCTTTGTAAGCTGATAAACAACTTGAACAGTGTCTTAGGATACAAAATTTATGTGCAAAAATTGCCAGCATTTCTATACACCAACGACAGTCAAGCTGAGAGCCAAATCACAAACAAACTCTCATTCACAACTGCCACAAAAAGAATATTAGGTTGGTGCAAAAGTAATTGCGGTTTTTGCCACTAATGGCAAATACCTAGGAATACAGCTAACCAGGGAGGTGAAATATCTTTACAAGGATAATTACAAACCACTGCTCAAAGAAATCAGAGATAACACAAACGAAAAAACATTCCATGCTCATGGATAGGAAGAATCAATATTGTTAAAATGGCCATACTGCCCAAGGCAATTTATAGCATCAATGCTATTAAACTACCAGTTCCCATTAAACTACCATTGACATGCTTCACAGAACTAGAAAAAACTATTTTTAAATTCAGATGAACCCAAAAAAGTGCCCAAATAGTCAAGACAATCCTAAGCAAAAAGAACAAAGCTGGAGACATCATGCTACCTGACTTCAAACCATACTACAGGGCTATAGTAACCAAAACAGCATGGTACTGGTAAAAGAACAGGCACATAGACCAATGGAACAGAATAGAGAACCCAGAAATAAGACTGCACACCTTCAACTATCTGATATTTGACAAACCTGATAAAAACAAGCAATGGGGAAAGGATTCCCTATTCAATAAATGGTGCTGAGATAACTGGCTAGCTATATGCAGAAGATTGAAACTGGACCCTTTCCTTACACTCTATACACAAATTAACTCCAGATGGATTAAAGACTTAAATGTAAAATTCAAAACTATAAAAACCCTGGGAAACAATATAGGCAATACCATTCAGGACACAGGCATGGGCAAAGATTTCATGAGGAAGATGCCAAAAGCAATTGCAACAAAAGCAAAAATTGACAAATGGGATCCAATTAAGCAAAGAGCTCCTGCATAGCAAAAGAAACGATGAATGGAGTAAACAGACAACCTATAGAATGGTAGAAAAAAATTTGCAAATTATACATCTGAGAAAGGTGTAATATCCAGGATATATGAGAAATGTAAACAAATTTACAAGAAAAAAAAACATTAAATAATATTCTGGTGCAGTGGCTCACATCTGTAATCCCAGCACTTTGGGAGGCCAAGGCAGGTGGAACACCTGAGGTCAGGAGTTCAAGACCAGTCTGGCCAACATGACAAAACCCTGTCTCTACTGAAAATACAAAAATTAGTGAGGTGTGGTGGGGCACGACTGTAGTTCCAGCTACTTGGGAGGCCAAGGAGGCAGAATTGCTTGAACCCAGGAGGTGGAGGTTGTAGTGAGCTGAGATCCCACCATTGCACTCCAGCCTGGGCAAGAGTGAGACTCAGTCTCAATCAATTAACCAATCAATCAATAAATCGTGAGAAAAGGACACGAACAGACGCTTCTCAAAAGCAGACACACGTGAAGCCAACAAGTACATGAAAATGCTCAACATCACTGATCATTAGAGAAATTCAACTCAAAATCACCATGAGATACCATCTCACACCAGTCAGAATGGCTATTATTAAAAAGCCAAAAAATAACAGATGCTGTCAAGGTTGTAAAGAAAAGGGAACACTTACACGCTGTTGGTGGGGGTGTAAATTAGTTCAGCCATTGTGGAAGACAGTGTAGTGATGCCTCAAAGAAAGAAGTACCA